>NC_000023.11:78826178-79129208 GCF_000001405.40 Homo sapiens
AATGTATCTCAGTGTGGCCAAGTTATCCTGTTATGTCCACTTTTGCCATCTCTGCTTTGTTATCTTGTGGATTTTCTAGACTCTGATACTTGTACCTGGTGGTTGGATTTTGACATTGTTACTGGGGGATTTAACCTTGTTAATGCTACTCATGTTGATGGCCCTGTCCATGCCTTCTTATTTGTCTCCGGCTGTGTTACCAGAGATGTTACTTTCTTGTAGAAAGAGTAAGAGTATCTTTCCACCAAAATTTAAAACCTTACTAGGCTCCCTAAAGAATGAGGAGAGACTTTCTTCCAGTTTGCTATATCATCTAAGTAAATAAATTCTTTTACTGGGCTCTTGTAAAAAGTGGCTTTGCTACCTTCATTTCTTATAGGAATATCTCTTGAGGAAGTTAGGAAAAGAGGTCCCTGGACTAAACATTTGCATGATACAACATACTATCAACCCAAAGTGATCTTCCCAGACAGCAATAAACTCCTGAGGTGTTAAGTTTATCTTATTCTCCTTTCAGTTCTACAGTTAAAATTCCAGTGTACTATGGTCTAACTTTTAGTGCCAAAATTTTCGTAATTACTTCCCCCCCTCCCCAAGAAGTCCCATCGAATCCTCCTATAGAAAGAAGCTTCAATGGCCTAATTTTGTGTGTCATTGTTCTGAGGATGAGTATTCTGATTATGCCCCCAGTCTGGTATTCTCATTTCATGAAATGGATTTCATATAACCTCAAATGAAATGTAAAAGTTATGGAATACTGAATGTTGACCTCTGTGACTATTCGGCAAATGTCTCTTAGAAATCATGTAATGCTGATTTTTAAAAATTTCTTCTTTACAATGTGTTGACAAAACCCATAAAGAATATATAAATAAAATGGGAATGTAACTAGGGAAAGGGGAGAATGCCTTTCAGTAGAAAGCAAGAACTAAGTCTTCCTTCCTGTGGATAGCAATAAAATAATCTTGATCTGTTATTTTATTTGATACCCAGGCAGGCATTGAGTTCAAAAGTCACCAAACCTGATTACATTATTGAATACCCAGGTAAAGCTACAAATGATTATTATTATAAATTGTCATGAAAACACAGTACTGCTATATGATATTTTCACTTCTTTTTTTAAGAGAATGACTAATATAGATGGGACTGCTGGTGGCCCAGTAGACTAAGTCTCTGTCAGTGGTTGCTGTGCCTGCAAGAAAGCAAGCAAGTGACCAAAGGAGCACACAGTACACCTTTTTTTCCTTTAATGGTATAGCAATCCTTAAGGAAAAATAAGTACTAGACTGGCAGGCTAAGGTTAGGTGTACAACATAGAATGCACAAACTTTGTGGGGAAGAGCCAGTGGGTCCTATTTATAGGATGGTGCATCTAGAAAGAAGATGAAATTTGATTTATCTGCCCAATGTTAGTGTGGCTGGGAGTCCACTCTTCCTCAGGTTTAATGTGTCTAAAAATTAAACAGTAACAAAGACTGGGCAAACTTTTTGGGACAAACTTTCAAGGTCAGCAGCTTGTTGATTATGGCTGGTTCACTGTAAAATTGCCCAGTTAACTTTCTTTTCTTGTCCTATACAATGCCTTCCCATTCTTCAATTTACAGCATCCACTTAAAAAGAATTCTGGACTTTAGGAAAGACTACCACTCCAGCTTTGTGACCTGAGCACTTCATTTAACCCATTGAGCCTCAGTTTCTTCACTTGTAATATGTACTCACCAGTAAAAGGTAGTGTGTAAATGAGGGCTGCCTGGACTCCCCTAAAAGGAAATGACATGATTTACACCCCCTAGGTAGGAACTCAATCCTGTTTCCTGCTGTATTTCAGTGCTCGGGAGCCCTGAGAAAGTGGAAGAGGGAAGCGGGCGTTTTCAGATATTAGACTATTGACCTAGTTAACCATCTTATGAGTAAAAATATATTTGGGCATCCTACATCCTGGAGTCAAATCAAACAGAAATCTTGTCTGTTGTGCCTTCCAATTCACATTCAAAGACATAAAGACAGAGTAAGAAAAATGCTTGTGTCCAGTTATCAGAGATATAAGTGGAATTTATTTACTCTGGGGATGCCGATTATATTACTGCCCTTTCTCTACCTTGGCTTTCAGCACTGAATATCACTCTTGGACTATGGTTTTATAATAGTACTTAATTTGTATATTCCTAGAGGGCAGGAGTAAGGCCAGTGAGCCTTAATTGCAGAAATAGACATTTCACCTAAATAGTTAAAGAAGCAAGTGAACAAACAAACAAAGAAGAAAAATCTTTCTAACAATTAGAGTTATGGGAAGTACTAAGTTGGCCATTCTTGAAGGCATTAAAGAGAAGTTTGGCAGCCACTTATAGTAGAGAGAAGTTATACATCTGTTAGGGGTTCAGCCTCTCAGATCTCTTTCTATTGCATCTTCATGAAAGGCATAGTATATGAATCTGATCTTTTAAACAGATTTATTTGTTTTTGGTGAGCCTTACATAAGAAAAAGGCTATTTGCATTAATTGGAAGACTGCTTCAATTATAAACTCCTTGCTAATCAAACAAGTTCAGTTCAGAAAGCCCTTACTGATTGCATACTTTATGCCAAACCCTGGGGAAGGCAATGCAGACGAGACAGACAGGTAAGAAATAGCTATCCCCATCCACCAAAGGCTCTCAATCTAGTAAGGAACATGCAGGCTAATATAAGCCCAACTGGAGTCCTAGAGCCTAAATAAAGATAAAATGAAGTAGTTAATTTGTTTATAATATGAACAATTTCTAATCACGTCTATGTCCATGACATTATTTCCCTTCCCTTGACTACCTCTCTTTTCCTGCTCAAAGCAAGACCTCTAGTCCCACACCCTAAAGAAAACTTTTATTAATTGGCCAGGCGCGGTGGCTCACGCCTGTAATCCCAGCACTTTGGGAGGCCGAGGTGGGCGGATGAAGAGGTCAGGAGATCGAGACTATTCTGGCTAACACGGTGAAACCCCGTCTCTACTAAAAATACAAAAAAAAAAAAAAAAATGAGCTGGGCGCTGTCCCACTACTCGGGAGGCTGAGGCAGGAGAATGGTGTGAACCGGAAAGGCGGAGCTTGCAGTGAGCCGAGATCGCGCCACTGCACTCCGGCCTGGGAGAAAGAGCGAGACTCTGTCTCAAAAAAAAAAAAAAAAAAAAAAGAAAAAGAAAACTTTTATTAATTATTTAAGTCTTCTGTCATTATCCTCGCTTCTAGTTCCTATGAATCGTGTTTGGGGTTGAATTGTATTTCCCAAAAAGATATGTTGAAGCTCTAACCCTGGCAACCTCTGAATGTGAACCTATTTGGAAATTTTGCAGTTGTAATCAAGTTAAGATGAAGTCATATTGGAGTAGGATAAGCCTTAAATTCAATATCACTGGTTTTACTTTAAGAACAGGGGAATATGTTCTCTAAGAACAGGGGAAGAGACAAACAAGGGGAACACCAAGTGAAGATGGAGACAAATATTGAAGTGATGAGTCCACAAGCCAAGGAACCCTAAGGATTACTGGCAACCACCAAAAACTAGAAAAGAAACACGGAAATGATTCCCCCTTAGAGCACCCAAAAGGAATCAGTCTTCCTCTTGATTTCAGACTGTTAGCTTCCAGAACTGTGAGAGAATAAGTTCTATTGTTTTAATCCACCAAGTTTGTGATACTTTGTTATGGCAGCCATAGGAAACTAATACATTAGTATACCTCTTGCCTGTATCACACGGTTTAGCACTTAAGTAGCATCTAAATTGGGCATTGACAGAAGAATATCAGCAATAGGAAAAATAGATAACATTGAGCACTTACTCCATTCCATGCACTATGCTAATTCTTCTGCACACTCATTTAATTGTCAATAACAACCTTACTATGTAGAAACTATTATTGTTATCATTTTATAGAATAAAAAACACGAAGTTGAATAACTTACCCAAAGGCTAGTGAGGGGCAAAGCTGGGACTTCAAATCAGGTCAGTTTGATCACTTTTTATCATTATGCGACAATGCTTTCAATAATGTCTAGAAGGTAGAGAATATCTATTGGTATTTTTGCTGGTAGATCAATATTCTACCAGTTTTCAGGGAATGGTAGGTGCTCAAAACACCCTTATAATATTTATTGAAGCATTATAATAACACTACTGAATTGTTGGAATATAAAGAAAAATAAAATATCTCAAGTTCTATCACTATCATAAAAATATTTGAGGTGCAGAGTGTTATTGCTTTCCAGTGAAATTGATGGATTCAACCTGGTGTTAGGAATTTTCATGATACAACAATGGAAGACACTGTCTGCCCAAAGGTAGTTGTGGCAAACAGGAAACAAATGTCTACATGGGAACAAGATATATATGGGATAGTGCAGGGTCTAGGGCATATATACATTCTTTAATTGAAAATTTTCTTGAGATAATTATAGATGCATATGCAGTTGTAAGAAATGATGCAGAGAGATCACTTGAACACTTTGCCAAGTTTTCCCCAATAGTAGCATTTTGCAAATCTATCCTATAAGAGCACAACTAGAAAATTTACATTGATATAATCCACCAGTCTTATTTAGAGTCCCCAGTTTTACTCATACTCATTTGTGTACATGTACCTCTGTGTGTGTGTATATGAGTGTGAAGTTCTCTACAGTGCTATCATTTATGTAGGTTTCTTTATCAAGAGTTGCCTCAAAATCAAGATAGAAAATGATCATGTTAAATATCTAGCAAATCTCCCTCATTCTAGCTCTTTATAGCCACACCTACCACCTTTTTGCCCCACCCACTCCAATTCCTAACCCCTGACAATTATTAATCTACTCTGCTCTATAATTTTTCCCCTTCAAGAACGTTACATAAATCTAATTATTCAGTATGTGACCTTTTGATATTGTCTTTTTTTTCACTCAGCATTCAGCCTGGAATTTCATTTAAGTTGTTGCATGTTATCAGTAGTTCATTCTTTTTAAAATTCTGAGTAATATCTCATGGTATGGGTGTACCGTGTACCTAGGATACACATTATTTGTTTAACCATTCACCTATCAAAGGAAGTCATGGCTATTTCCAGTGATTAGATATTATAAATAAACTAGCTACAAATATTGGTTTACATATTAATAAAGAACTTAAGTCTTGATTTCTTTGGGATTAAATGCCCCAGAGTGCAATTGTTGGGTAGTAGAGTAATTGAACATTTACTTTTAAAAGAAAATGCCAAATTGTTTTCCAGAGTAGTTGTACAATTTTACATGTCCACCAGCAATGTATGAATAATATAGTCTTTCTGAATCTTTGCTAGCATGTGGTTTTGCCACTATTTTTTAATATAAATTTTAGTCATTCTGATAAATGTGTAGTGATATCCAATTGTAATTTTAATTTGCGTTTACCAGATTCCTTATGGACAACTTTTCATGTTATATATACATTTTGAAAGAATGAAATGGAGTCGTAGAGAAAGGTAAGTTTTGAGATAAACGAGCTCTGAGTCAGAACTGGAAAGATGTGCAGGATTTGAAACTGGAAGCAAAAGGTGGGGAATATGTCAACATTCTGGCTGTAGTTACATATATGAGTCAAATAAAACAAAAAATGATAAACAAATGTTTTAAAAGAAACAATTACATACCTGCTGTATGTAAATCACTAGACAAAGTGTAACTCACTTAATCCTCACAACAATCCTGCTATCATGCTACATTGTTCTAGTTGTGGAAATATGTTCATTGTAGGGACTTTGAAAGCTACTGAAAAGTGTAATAAAAGCAAAAAAGAAAAAGATGACTTGTAATCTCTTTACAGCCAGCTATTTGAAATATTTCCTTTCTTCCAGTCATTTATTATTTCATATATATTTGTGTATATCTGTAGATATACACATGCATACATGAAGAGTGTAGGTATAGTTGTTAATTGGAGCAACGCTGTATATACATATATATATATATAGTTTGTCTTCATATTATGAATGTATTCTCATAAAATTAAATATTATTTAAATACCATTTGAAAACTGCATAATATTTCTTGAAGATGATACATCATAATTTACTTGATCTCTTTTCTATTGTTGCTCCTGTAGGTTTTCAACGTTGTTATTATAAATAATGCTGCAATGAATGACTTTGTATATTTGTTGGGTTTTTTACTGTTCTTTTCGACCAACTTCTTAGAAGGGAAATTCCTATGTCATACATCATAAACTGTTTGAAGTATTTTGATATGTTTTTCAATTGCTTTTCAGAAATATTGGGCCAATTTACATTCCAGCAGTATACAAGGATGCTCATTTACCACATCATTATCAACACTGCATTATTATTTTTGAAATCTTTGCTAATTTGATAGAGAGAAAAATGACATCCCATTTAATGTGTATTTATTTTTAGTGAGTTGGAAATTTTTCACACTTGCTTTTCGGTTATTCATATTTTGTTCTTCTATAAGTTGCTTGTCTTCTTTGGTCATTTTCCTTTGAGGTTATTAGTGTTTTCCCAATAAACTGAATTATCAAAGATTTGATTATCCCCATTTTATACATAAGGAAACTGAGATCTAGAGAAATTATGTAACCACCTCAAAGTCACATAAATAATAATTGCGATTCAAAGTCAGGTCTGCCTAACTTCAAAGGCCTGTTCTTTCTATGCCGCCACATCTCTTTTAAAGGTGGTTGTCTTTGTTAATGAGGGACAACTGAGCACTTGGCTTTCTGCTTAGCAAATATTTCAATAATTCATCATCTACATACATGTCTAAGCCGCATAGTTGTTAACTTAACCAGGATGATCTGTATTACTCCTGGTCTCATTCAAACTCCAAACACCTCAAAGGAATGGAACTTGAATTCAGTGCCAGACAGAATTAACTTTCTGGTTAGTTCTCCAGAAATTTTTCTCAACACAGTTTTCTTTCCAGTCTTTACATTCTCCTACTGAAGAGAGTGGTTGAGTTCAGTTGCAAAAACAATTCTCAATCCAAGTAGACAGTTTGGAATGGGTTTTTATTCTGTTTGATATCCAATCACTAGTTTGACTAAATTTTTCCTGTTTCAACTGGTGTGTTATTATAATGTGTTGAGGCAGCTAGAGTTAGAACATGGTAGTTGAGAACAGTGAGCAAATATGAATCTAAATACAATCTACAGATTAAGATAGTGAGTTACATGGAGCATTATCTTTAAAAGGGCACCAGTTTTATGTTAATAATCTTATTATATAAGAAAATTACAAGATAGACCAAAATATGAAAATAAACAAACAACTACCCTAAGCTTAATCTCTCCCATGGTGTATGTTTCTGATTGCACTGAACACAAAACAAGCACATACACATGAAGACAAAGCTAGCCACTTCACTGAAACCAAAATTCTCTATAAAATTTCCTGCTATGGAGTATAATAAATATAGTATTTGTCCATTCATCACAGCATTGAAAGTCCACTGGGAAGTTCTCAGTAACTGAGATTTAATTAGTATCTAAGGCAACAAGAAATTCCTACTTGAAAGAAATCAAATAAAGTGGAAAAAACAAATTACAATTGGTGTGCACATTTTTTTCTGACATGGTGGCCTCTGAATAAATGTGGTGCTATGACCCATGCCTCTTTCCTTCTTGTGTGTGTCTGTCTCTCTTTCCTTCCTCTCACTGAATACAGTTTTAATAAAGAAGCATCTGTTGTCACTCTGAAATGATGATCCCTGCTTTCAGCAGACAAAGGAGAGAAAAACTAAGTGCTTGTACAGATACATACAGTACAGTATATACTGTCTTGGCCAGAGACAGCCCATAGGCTGGAATTTGGCTATCCTTAGGAAGAAGCTACATAATTTTGACCTCAAGAATGGAGGAATTACTCTAAAAGTCACTTAGTGGTCAAAGAATTGACCTTTGTCCTAGAAGAAAATGAGGTTCTAGAAAAGTAATGTTAATTATACGTAAATAGTTCAATAACTACCATCTAGTGAATAGTGACCAGACACTGCGCGAAATACAGTACATACATTATCTCATTTAATACCCACAAAGTCCTAAAAAAGAGATTGATTTTAAGTCCAGGGAAGTGAAACTAGAAGAAATTAAGCCACTTGCCCAGTATTACCCCACCAAGAATTGATAGAGCTGGAAACCAAATTCAGGATTCCAAACCTTATTCCAATATATCATATTATTTCTGGGATGACAAATTTTATAGTTTCGAGTTTACTTAAATAGAAAAATAATGTGTATGTTAATTAGCTTAATATAGCCATTCCACAATATGTACATATATCAAAATATTATGTTGTACACTATAACTTTTTTTGTCAACTAAAAACCTCAATATTATCATTAATCCTGTCACCCAGTCTACACTACTTTTTCTTTCATTTATGCTTTTGTTGGGAAGAAATGTGTTTTTTTTTTGTCCTAATAAAATGATAGATATTTATTTTCCTGTTCTCCTTAATAAATAAAATTATAAACCCCCAAATGGCCAAAAAGAGAAATAAAGAATAACTCTGAAAGATGATAAGATGAAATTAAACAGGGTTTAGTGTTTCGCCACCCAATAGAAGAAGGTCATCTAGACCTGGTTTTGTTCTGTCTACCACCTAGCAACAGAAGGTAGCCCTCGTAGGCTCATTCCTTTCTTGGATAAAAGTGGAGTCCAGGCTGGGCATGGTGGCTCATGCCTTTAATACCAGCACTTTGCGAAGCTGAGGTGGGTGGATCACCTGAGGTAAGGAGTTCGAGGCCAGCTTGGCCAACATGGTGAAACCCCGTCTCTACTAAAAATACAAAATTAACCGGGCATGGTGGCGCACACCTGTAATCCCAGCTACTCGGGAGGCTGATGCAGGAGAATCACTTGAACCTGGGAGGGGGAGGTTGCAGTGAGCTAAGATCATTCCATTGCACTCCAGCCTGGGTGACAAAAGTGAAACTCCATCTCAAAAAAACAAAAAACAAAAAACAGAAACAAAAAAAATCTGGAGTCCATGTGACACTTCCAAAAAGGAGTATCAAATGAGCACCCAGCCAAACATAAGAGGCCAGTGGAGACACTCCTGCCAGGCCTCAGACTGTCTTCCCCTACAGAGAGATATTGAGTCTGGCAGACACATGCACCCTGGTCCAGGAAGACTCTGCGCCCCCAACCCCAAGATTCTTCTCCTAAACCCAGAGACACAGTGAATGGTAAGCATAGTACGCAAAACTTGTAGGAGGGACATAGCCATAACAAGTGGCTGCCTGGGAAGTCCCTTTGTCCTTTTGGGTCATGATTCTCCTACTATCTACTTTGGACCAGAGAGACTGCAGCATCAGCAGAGGGAATTCAGTAGAGAGCCACCCCCCTCAGAGGGTCAGCCTGGCTAGTCCTTTTCCGTCTCCTAAGACAGCACCAGCAGGAAACAGTGGGAGCCGTAGCAGCACCAGTTAAACTGTGGAGACCAAAATAATCCAGCAGAGGCTAGACAATTAAAGTGCCATTGAAACCAGAACTCAAAAAGCTATGCCAGGACCTGTATGCTAACCCTACACAGGTTGACTGTCTAGTAAAATAAAGGGGTTCAATAGGTCCCAGAGAATACTGAAATAATAGGCAAAAAGTCTATGATACAACTAAAATCATCACCTGTCATATCAAGAACCCAGAAAATCACAACCTGAATAAGAAAAGAAAAAACTGACAGCAACACTGAGATAGACACTGATAGTTGACATAGTGAACAATGATTTCAAAGTAGCTGTGATAAATGCTTCAAAAAACAATTACAACTTATCTTCAAACAAATAAAAAGTAGAACATCTCAGCAAAAAATAAATACTACCAGTTATTAAATATTTTGGTATTATTGTATTGAATCACTTGCTTTACCTTCATAATTTTATTTTAACCTCAAGAAAAACCTGTTAGGTCGATTTTACAGTACCATTTAAAATATTAGAAAACTGAAGCTTACCATAGCCCCTATTGCATTATACCTGGTCAGCTGTACTCATTTATATTACCTGCCTGATCTTTGTAAGCATTAGAGTTTGCCATCCCTAGTAGGTGAAAGCAGAGACGGTACTTTACATAGGGTAAATAATATAAGCAAATGTGCAGGAGTTGAAATGATTATACGCATTTAAAGGTGGTGAGGAGACCAGCCTGTCTAGAGCAGAGAGTATGTGTTATGGAGTAACTGGAGAAAATAATGGATAGTTAAGGAGGAGCCAAATTATGAAGGAATTTAACAAGCAATCAGAAGAATATGCATAGGGAGTTACATTGGTTTTTGAGGTAACATGATGAAAGAGATATTCAGCAAACAAAAAGAAAGAGGAAGAAAGAAGGAGATAGAAGAAGAGACAGAAAGAGAGAGAGGGGGGAATAGAGATAGAGAAAGAAAGAAACTAGAATATTAAATGCCTATTACGGGTTTCTAACTCTCCTTTATTCCCAGTTCCACACATGCATACTACATATGGTATAGTTTCCTAAATCACCATGCCCCTCTCTAATCAATGGGCTTTTGTACAAGCTACCCACTTTGCCGGGAATCATTGTCCACCCCTCCACCCAACCTCTTAATTCACACCCTATAATCTGTTTTTAAGCAATCTCCTATTCACCTTTTAAGAGGTAGCACAGAAATAATGTCTTATCCCGTTGCATTTATTAACCTGTTAGATTATTTTCGAAACCTCTGAGCTACTTGAAGGCAGAGACCAGAATGCATTAATTTCTGTAGTCAAAGCATCTAGCCCAATTATATGCATATGGCAGAAATTTAGTATTCTTTTGTTGAATGGATGAATAAGCAAATAAATGAAGATCAAGTACTGTACCTTGTGCTTAACATAAGTTACTTTGTTTTACCTTCATATTAACTCATTTCACTAGTGAAGTTTGAGTCAACTGCAGCTAAAAACTTGAGAGAGAAGGGCATTCCAAGCAAATGTGCAAAGGGAGGGAGAGCATGAGATAACATGATGCATTCTAGGGACTACAAGATGTTTGATATGATTAGAGTGTAAGGTGGGGAGTGATGAAAGATGAGGCTGGAGTGGTAGACAAAGCTCAACCCATAAAGAAACTTGCATATCTCTTAAAGAAATTTGTCCTTAGGGCCAAAGGTATTATAATAGCATAGGAATAACAGTACACATCAGATATAACTAAAGTCACATAGTGTTTATCTATATGGTGAAGGTAACTGTTTCTCCTCCTTCTTCTTCTTGTTCTTTTTTTTTTTTTTTTTTTTTGGAGGCAGGGTTTCACGATGTTACCTAGGCTGGAGTGCAGTGGTGGTGGTGGCAATCTCAGCTCACTGAAACCTCTGCCTCCTGGATTCAAGTGATTCTTCCACCTTAGCCTCCTGAGTAGCTGAGACTACAGCCACACACCACCACACCTGGCTAATTTTTGCATATTTTGGTAGAGACGGGGTTTCACCATGTTGGTCAGGTTGGTCTCAAACTCCTGAGCTCAAGCAATCTGCCCGCCCGCTTCAGCTTCCCAAAGTGTTAGGATTACAGGTGTGAGCCACCGCAACCAGACTATAATTGCTTCTTGAAAGTAAGGATCCAAAGGTGAAAAATGGAGGGATGCTTGAAGAAGAGTTTATGAGCAAAGAGTACCTCACTCCCCTCCCCATCACAGAGAGCACACGAGGGACCAGTATGCTCCATCCTGTAAAATTCAGAACAGAGTTTGAGCATTTCTTCAGGGTGCCAAATTTTTGACCCCTCTAATCGCATCCTATAAATTCACTTTCTGTACTTCTGTGAGAGCTGATCCTAGGTATCATTGCATAGATCTGTGGTTCAAGAAGGCTTTTCTCATGGTTCTTATTCTACCCTTAGATTTATTAGTCTGTACATACCTATGCTATGAAAGGAGTCTCTTTCCGTGGTCTTGTTCCACTTCAAGAAACATGTCAATGAAAAGGCAGAGACTGGCCAATGGGTACAAAGAAAAAACAAACGTTACCCAAATATGTGCTGTCCACAAGTGACACACTGTAGATTAAAAGGTACAAAGAGGATGAAATAAAAATGATGGGAAAACATACATGACTCAAACCATAACTAAAAGAGAATTTGAGTGGTTATAGAAATTTATGACAAAAAAATGTATTACCAGAGGTTTAAAAAATAGACATTAAATATGGATAAAATTTTAGTCCATTGAGATCACATAATGGACTAATAAGAAAGCTCCAAAATATATAAAGCAAAAATTGAAAGAATCGAAAGGAGAAATCGGCAATTCAACAATAATAGCTGAAGAATATTGGAGATGGAGCAAGATGGCCAGATAGAAGACTACAGTAATTGTTTCCTCTGCAAGAACATAAAATTAAATAACTACCCACATGTAAGTGCCTTCATAAGAACCAAAAATAGTGAGCAATTGCAATACCAGGCTTTAATATCATATTAAGAACAGAGGCACTGAAGAGGGTAGGAAATACAGTTTTGAACTGTCTACACTACTTCTCCATTCCCTGGCAGTATGACATGGCACAGGAAGAGAAAATCTGTGTGTTCTGGGGAGGGAGAGTGCAGTGACTGGCACACTGCATTGGAACTCTGTTGCCCTGTTATAGCAGAAAGCAACACCAGGCAGAATTCAGCTGGTACCTAAAGAGGCAGCATTTAGCTAAGCCCTAGCCAGAGGCTAATCATTCATCCCTGTGGTCAGAAGATGACCCATTAATGCAGACTAAAGTGTTCTGGGTTGTAAATAAACTTGAAATGCAGGCTAGGCCACAAGGACTGCAAATCCTAGGCAAATTCTGGGTACTGTGCTGGGCTCAGAGCCAGTGGACTTGGGGTGCATGTGACCTAGTGAGATATCAGCTGGGGAGGCTGAAGGAGTGCTTGTGTCACCCCTCCTGAACCTGCTAAAGGAAAATAAATCTCAGGACTGCCAAATCACTAAGCCAAGGGAAAAGTCAAGCTGGGAACTACATCAGGCAAACCTGCCTCCCATTTTATTGCTAAATAAGATAGCTACAAAGATAAAAAGCTACATACCTCACGCACAATTTGCCCACAGTGAAATTCCTTGCGGACAAACGACAGACAGAACTCAAAGTCATCCCTCTGAGGCTCACCTGAGACAAATGCATATCTGATTGCTTCCTCTGCCCTATTGTTTATGTAAAAATGTAGATTCACTGAGCCAGACTAAATTGTGTATTCAGTGGAAGGCTGATGAAGGACTCAAAAGAATTCAACCATTTATCTTTTATCTGCTTATGACCTGGAAGCCCCTGCCTCAAGTTGTTCCACTTTACTGGACTGAACAAATGTACATCTTCCACATATTGATCGATATCTCATCTCTCCCAAAGATATTTAAAAGTAAGTTGTACCCTGACCACCTTGGGCATATGTCGTCAGCACCTCCTGATGCTGTGACATGGGCACATTCTTAACCTTTGTAAAATAAACTTTCTAAATTGATTGAGACCTGACTCAGATAACTTTTGGTTTATAAACACCAGGATTCCTTCCCTCAGCTTGAGGAGAGGAGAGGGGAGAGTAAGGAGGACTTTGTCTTACAATTTGGAAACCAGCTTAGTCTCAGTAAAATGGAGTACCAGGCAGAGTCCTGAGGCCTTCATTCCAGGACCTACCTCCCGGGTGACATTTTCAAACACACCTGGGTCAGAAGAGAACCAACGGCCTTGAAAAAAAAAAAAAACCCTGGCAGAATTCATCACCTGCTGACCAAATAGCCCTTGGGCCCTGAATAATCATCAGTAGTAGCCAGGGAGTATTTGCTGTGGGCCTTGGATGAGTCACAGAGTCATGCTGGCTTCAGGTGTGACCCAGCACATTTCTGGCTGTGGAAGATATGGTGGAGACACCCTGTGCTTGAGGAAAGGAGATGGAAAAATAAAGGGGACTTTGTCTTGCATTTGGGGTACCAGCTTGGCCATAGTTATGTGGAGAACACTGAGAGAGCTCCTGGAATCCACAATTCCAGGCTGTGGCTCCCGGATGGCATGTCTGGACCTGCTTTGGGCCAAAGATGAGCCAACTGCCCAGAACTGAGAGACTCAGGGCTGGCAGCATTTACTCCAACCTGACAGGAGAACTCTTGGGCTTTGTTTGACCATCAGCGGTAGCCAGGCAGTACTTGCTGTAAGCCAGGGGTGATGGTGACTGAGGGAATAAACTTCTATGCTTGAGGAAACAGGAGAGAAAATAGGAAAGACTTTGACTTGTGGCTTGGGTGACAGCTCAGCCACACTAGCATAGTGAACCAGGTAGATTCCTAGGGTTTCAGACTCATGGCCCTTGTTCCCAGATGGCATCTGTAGATCAGCCACGGACCGAGGGGAAATCACCACCCTGAATGGAAGGACACAAGCCTGGCTGGATTCACCACCTGCTGATTGTAGAGTCTTTGGGCATTGAGTGAACATAGGCAATAGCAAGGGACATTATCTACTTATGATCTGGAAGCCCCTGACTCAAGATGTTCTGCCAGTGTGGTCACTGCAGGCCTTGGACAAGACCCAGTGCTGTGCTGGCTTCAGGTATGACCTAGCACAGTTGAAGTAGTGTGGTCACAGGGTGCTTGTGTCACCCCTTCCCCAGCTCCAGGCAGCTCAGCACAGAAAAATATAATCAGTTTGTTTGGGAGAAAGTAAGGAAAGAAAACAGTAGTATCTGCCTGGTAATCCGGGAAATTCTCACCTGATAGAGAACTTCTCCTTATAAGCTAAAGGAGCTTTGGGGCCAAGACAATGGGGTTTTGTAGATATAGGATCATGTCATATGCAAATATGTGTAGCTTGCCTTCCTCTCTTCCTATTTGGATGCCCTTTATTTTTTTCTCTTGCCTGATTACTCTGGGCAGGACTTACAACACTATATTGAATAGCAGTGGTGAGAGAGAACATCTTTGTCTTGTGCCAGTTTTCAAAGGGAATGAGTCTAGCTTTTGCCCATTTGGTATATTGGTCGTGGGTTTTTCATAGATGGCTCTTATTATTTTGAGGTGTTCCTTCAATATCTAGTTTACTGAGGATTTTTAACATGTTAAATTTTATTGAAAGACTTTTCTGCATCCATTGAGATAATCATGTGGTTTTTGTCTGATTAATAACTTCAGCAAAATTTCAGGATACAAAATCGACGTACAAAAATAAGTAGCATTCCTATACACCAACAACATCCAAGCTGAAAGCCAAATCAAGAATGTAATCCCATTCACAGTAGCCACAAAAGGAACAAAATACCTAGAAATACAGCTAAGCAGGAAGGTGAAAGGCCTCTACAATGAGAATTCCAAAACACTGCTTAAAAAAATTAGAGATGACACAAACAAGTGGAAAAACATTCCATGCTAATGAAAAGGAAAAATCAATCTTATTAAAATGGCCATATGTGAAAGCAATTTACAGATTCAGTGCTATTCCTATCAAACTGCCAATGACATTTTTCACAAAAGCATAAAAAACTATTTTAAAATTTATATGGGACAAAAAAAGCTTGAATAGCCAAGGTAATCCTAAGCATACAGAACAATGCTGAAGGCATCACGTTACCCTACTTTATATTACAGGCCTACAGTAAACAAAACAGCATAGTACCAGTACAAAAAATAGGCACATAGACCAATGGAATTGAATAGAGAGTCCAGAAATGAGGCCACACCCCTACAACCATGCAATCTTTTACAAGACTGACAAGCAATGGGGAAAGACCTCCTTATTGAATAAATGGTGCTAGAATAACTGGTTAGCCATATGCAGAATATTAAAACTGGGCCCCTTCCTTACACCACATACAAAAATTAACTCAAGGTGGAAAACATACTTAAATGCAAAACCCAAAACTATAAAAACCCTGAAAGACAACTTGGCAATATCATGCTGGACATAGAAACTGGCAAAGATTTCATGACAAAGACATCAAAAGCAATAGAAACAAAAGCAAAAATTGACAAATGGAATCTAATTAAACTTAGGAGCTTCTGCAAGAAAAAGAAACTATCAACAGAGTAAACAGACACTCTACAGAATGGGAGAAAATATTTGTAAACTATGCATCTGACAAAGTTCTCATATCTAGTTAAAGGAACTTTTAAAAAGTTACCAGAAAAAAAAAAAAATCACATTAAAAAGTGGGAAAATGACATTAACAGACACTTTGCTGAAGAAGACATACCTGCATCCAGTAAGCATATGAAAAAAACCTCAATATCACTGATCATTAGAAAAATGCAAATCAAAACCGCAATGAGATACCATCTCACACCAGTCAGAATGGCTACTATGAAAAAGTCAAAAAGTAATAGATGCTGGCGAGGTTGTAGAGAAAAGGGAACACTTATGCACTGTTGGTGGGAGTGTAAATTAGTTCAACCATTGTGGAAAGCAGAGTGGCAATTCGCAGAAGTGAAAACAGAACTATCATTTGACCCAGCAATCCCGTTACTGGGTATAGAGCCAAAGGAATATAAATCTTTCTACCATAAAGACCCATGCCCACATGTATTTATCACAGCACTACTCACAATAGCAAATATTGAAATCAACTTAAATGCTCATCCATGGCCTATTAGATAAACACAATGTGATACATACACACTGTGGAACACGGTGCAGCCATAAAAAAAGAATGAGATCATGTCCTTTGCATTAACATGAATGATGCTGGAAGCCATCATCCTTAGCAAGCTAGCACAGGAACAGAAAACCAAATATTGCATGTTCTCACTTATAAGTGGGAGCTAAATGACGAGAACATACGGATACAAAGAGAGGAACAACAGACACTGGGGCATACTTGAGAGTGAAGAGTGAGAGGAGAAAGAGGAGCAGACAAAAAAAACTATTTGGTACTACGCTTAGTACCTAGGTGATGAAATAATCTGTACAATAAACCCTCATGACACAAGTGCCTGTACATGTACCCTTGAACCTAAATAAAAGTTTAAAAAAAGAAAGTCCAGAATACCGCTGTATGATTATGGTCAATCAATTTTTAACAAAAATGTCAAGTTAATTATATTGGGAAAAATAGCCTTTATTACAAATGATGCTGGAATAATTGGCCCACATTCAAAATAACAAATTTGTATCTCAGTCTCATTCATTACACAAAAATTAACTGAAAATGGATATAAGATTCAAATATAAAAGCTAAAACTATAAAAATCTTTGAAGAAAACCTAGGAATAATGTTTTCATTACATTGGATTAGGTAATAGTTTGTTAGATAGCAGAAGTGACAAAAGAAAAAGATATATAAGTATAACTTTATAAAAATTAAATTTTTTTGGCCAGGCATGGTGGCTCATGCCTGTAATCCCAGCACTTTGGGAGGCCGAGGTGGGTGGATCACGAGGTCAGGAGATCGAGACCATCCTGGCTAACACGGTGAACCCCGTCTCTACTAAAATTACAAAAAATTAGCCAGGCATGGTGGCGGGCGCCTGTAGTCCCAGCTACTCGGGAGGCTGAGGCAGGAGAATGGTGTGAACCCGGGAGGTGGAGCTTGCAGTGAGCTGAGATCGTGCCACTGCACTCCAGGCTGGGTGACAGAGCAACACTCAGTCTAAAAAAAAAAAAAAATTAAATTTTTTTTCTCCAAAGGATGCTAAGAAAAGGTAAAAAGACAACCCACAGAATGAGAGGAAATATTTATAAATTCTATATTTGACAAGAAACTGTTATTCAAGATATATAAAAACTATTCCAATATAACAATAAAGAAACCCAAAATGTGAAAATAATTTGCATAGACATTTCTCTAAAGGTTACATATAAATGTCCAATTAGCATATTAAAATATGCAGGGTATCATTTAGTCATTAGGGAAATGGAAACCAAAAGCACCATGAAATACCACTTCACACCCATTAGGATAGCTATGATAAGAAAGGCATACAGTAGCAAGTGTTAGAAAGAATATGGAGGCCAGGTGCAGTGGCTCACACCTGTAATCCTAGCACTTTGGGAGGCTGAGGCAGGCAGATCATGAGGTCAGGAGATTGAGACCATCCTGGCTAACATGGTGAAACCCTGTCTCTACTAAAAATACAAAAAATTAGCCGGGTGTGGTGGCACGTGCCTGTTGTCCCAGCTACTCGGGAGGCTGAGGCAGGAGAATCTCTTGAACCTGGGAGGCGGAGGTTGCAGTGAGCCGAGATTGTGCCACTGCACTCCAGCCTGGTTGACAGAGTGAGACTCGGTCTCAAAAATAAATAAATAAATAAATAAATAGATAAATAAATAAATAAATAAATAAAAATAAACAACAACTACAAAAGGCCTTTTACACACATTTCTGTAGAAACATTATTCATAATGACCAAAATTAGATACAATCAAAATTACCATCAACAGATGAATTGATAAATACAATATGGTATGTGCATATAGTAGAATCATATTTAACCATAAGAAAGAATGAAGTGCTAATTCATTTCAAGTGAAAAATTCTGGACACGAAAGGCCACATAATGCATTATCCCACTTACGTGAAAAGTCCAGAATAGTCTAATTCATAGACTCAAAGTCTGTTAGAGACTGTGAGAGACTGTGAGGTGGATTGGGAAGAAACTACTAACTGTTACATAGTTTCTTTTGGGGATAATGAAAATATACAGGAATTAGATAGTAATAATTGTGTATAGCTTTGTGAATATAAACTACTGAATTGCACATCTTAAAAGAGTGAATTTTATGGGATGTGAATTATTTTTCACCTAAAAATTGTATGAAATGTAATGATGAATATATATTAAGGCATTTAGTGGAAACGTGGATCACATGCATTATCAGATGGTGAATTTTAGTAGAAAGTGGGAAACTATGAGAAATTAATTAATATGCTAAAAACAAAGCAACAAAATTCTATGATATTATAGATTCATTCTTTCAGCAGCCTTACCATCAAATAAGACACAGCTGAAGAAATAATCAGTAAACTTTCTGGTCAATGGGAATTATCTAAAATGAAACAGGAAGGTAATTTTCTTTCTTGTCCTCTCATTTATTTCTTTATGTAGAAAACCATAACGACTCCACAGAAAAACTGTTAGAACTAATAAACAAATTCAGTAAAGTTTCAGGATAAAAAATCAACAGCAAAAATCAGAAGCTTTTCTATACACCAATAGTGAACTGTCTGAAAAGACAATTATGAAAACAATCCCATTTACAATAGGATAAAAAAGAATAAAATACTTTGGAATAAAGATAACCAAGGAGGTGAAATACCTGTACACTGAATACTACAAAACATTGAAAAAAGAAATTAAAAGAGACCCAAACAAAGAAAAGGTATCCAATGTTTGTGGATGGAAAGACTTCATATTTTGAAATGTCCATACTATCCAAAGTGATCTACAGATTCAATGCTATCCCCATTATAGTCTCAATGGCATTTTTTAAAGCAATAATAAAAAAACCCTAAAATTTATATAGGAACAACAACAACAAAAAGACTGAGAATAGCCAAAGTGAACTAGCAAAAAGAGAACAAAGCTGGAGTCTTCATATTTCCTCATTTCAAATTTTATTACAAAGCTACAGTAATTACAAAACAATATTAGTCTGACCTAAAGACAAATGTATAGACCAATGGAACAGAAGAGAGAGCACAGAAATAAATCCACACATATATGGTTAATTGATCTTTGACAAGGGTGCCAAAATATACAAAAGGGAAAGAGTAGTTTCTTCAATAAATGTTGATGGGAAAACTGGATATCCACATGCAAAAAAAAAAATGAAATTGAACTTTTCCTTTATACCATACACAACAATCAACTCAAAATAAAGACTTACCATAAAACTTGAAACTGTACAACTTCTAGAAAAAACATAGGCAAAAATTCTCTTCATATTGATCTTAGCAATAATGTCTTGAATGTAACATAAACACCACAAAAAACAAAAGCAAAAATATATAAGTGGGGCTACACCAAACTAAAAAGCTTTTACACAGCAAAAGAAATAATTTACAGAGTGAAAAGGCAACTTACATAATTAGAGAAAATATTTTCCAATCATATATCTATTAAGGAGTTCATTTCCAAAATTTATGAGAAATCCTAAAACTCAACAGCATACAGACACACATGCACACACACACACAACTCGATTAAAGATAGGGAAATGATTTGAACAGACGTTTCTCCAAGGAAGTCATACAAATACTTAACAGATATATAAAAACATGCTCAACATCTAATTTTCATGGAAATGCAAATCAAAACTACAAATAAGATAACACTTTACACCTGTTAGGATGACTATCATTTTAAAATGATAACAAGTGTTGATGAGGATGTGAAGAAATTGGAACCCTTGTCCACTACCAGTGGGAATGGAAAGTGGTGAAGCCAATATGGAAAACAGTATGTAGATTCTTCAAAGAAAATTAAGAATAGAACTACTATATTATCCACCAATCCCACCACTAGATTTTTACCCAAAGAATTGAAACCAGAATCTCAAAGAGATATTGACACTCCTATGTTTATTGCAACATTATTCACAATAGCCAAGATGTGAAACAACCCAAATGTTCATGAACAACATGAACAGATGAATGAATAAAAATGTCGTATATACATACAATGGAATATTATTCAGCCTTATAGAATAAGAAAATCTTGCCGTTAGAAACAGCATACATGAACTTCGAAGACATTATGCTAAGTGAAATAAGCCAGTCACAGAAGGGAACATACTTCATGATTCCACTGATTCGAGGTATCTATAATAGCAAAACTCATAGAAGTAGAGAATACAAGAGTGGTTACCAGGGTCTGGAAGGTGGGGGAAAGTGGGGGAAATAAGGGATTCTTGATCAATGGCTATAACATTTCATTTATGCTATATGAATAAATTCCAGAGATCTGATATACAGCATAGCGCTTATAGTTAACAGTGTATTGCACACATCAAAGTTTTTTAAGAGGGTAGATCGTATGTTAACTGTTCTTACTACAAACAGAACAAAACAAAGTAAAGGGACCCAAACGCTTTTGGAAGTTGTTGAATATGTTTATGACCTTAAACATGGTGATGATATCACAGTGTATGCACTTGTCCAAACTCATAAAATTGTATACATTAAATTTGTGCAATTCTTTGTAGATCAATTATACCTTAATAAATCTGTTAAAAATGAAATAAAACAGAAAGAAAAAAGTTAATATTTAAAATCTGGGTTTATGTTCACAAATTTTGGTGCCAAAATTGTAACTTTTGAATAAAATGATGGTTATAATAGATGATAGTTGACCAACTTGACAAAATAGCACATCTTAGAAGCCTATGTAAGACTCTCTCCTCCTTTTTAAAAGTCCAGATTATTTTATTTAATCCTCACAACAACCCAATTAGTTAGGTATTTTATTGAAGAGAAATTTAAGTTTTAGAGAGGTTATGTGACTAACTACAGAAGTTACATAGCTAATAAGTGGTAGATGAGGGTCATGGATACAGATACATGCCAAAGCCTAGGTGCTTTACCACAACATTGTACTGCCTCTTGGCTTTCTCTGACTCACCACCAGCAAAGAGTAAAAGTGCCTTATAACTACTGTTAATGATAATATTGTACAGCAGGTCTCTGGAATTTATTCATACAGCATAACTGAAATGTTGTAGCCATTGACTAAGAATCCCTTATTTCCGCCACCTTCCAGACCCTGACAACCCCTATTGTATTCTCTGCTTCTATGAGTTTGACTATTTACAGGTATCTCGAATCAGTGGAACCATGCAGTATTTGCCCCTCTGTGACTGGTTTATTTCACATAGCATAATGTCTGCAAGGTTCATCTATGCCATTTCTCATGGCAAGATTTCCTTCTTCTATGAGACTGAATAATATCCTGTTGTATGTATATACCACATTTTCTTTATCCATTCATCTGTTTGTGTTGTTCATGAACAACACAAGTGCTGTTTCGTATCTTGGCTATTATGAATAATGCTGCAATGAACATGGAAGTATCTCACCATGCTTTTTGCTATAGCCTGGTGGTTTTGGCCACCAGGGAGCTTTTATATTTGTTTCCAATCTTTACTTTTTACTCTCTAAAATACAAGTTATATAAGGTAGGTTTCTTTTCTGTCTTATTCACTACTGAATCATCAGCACCTAGAATACAGCCTGAACACAAAAGTTGTTCAATAAATATTTATTGTTGGAATATATGGTGATACTACTCTAGGGCTTACATAATTTCACTCATAATCAAAGAATATGGCTACCTAGCCAGTTTCTACTCACAGCTGATATTTATAGTGGCAGCCACTTTGATCCTATAGCCTAGAAGCTGGATGCTCCCCAAGCTGCCTTTTTTTAATTTTCCAAATTAGAATTCCAGGAATGACTGATCTTGGCAAGTGATTTTTCCACTATAGATGGTGAAAGCTCATGTGGGTGTGTGCCTTGGTATCTATTTCTGGTTTGGCCCACTTAATAGAGTCCCTGCACCTATTGATCAAAAACGCTACTCTGTTATTTTTGGAGGGATGGCCCCAGAAATTTTCATTCTATGGCAAGGTTGAGATGGAGATATGCTTCTGGCTTTTAAAGTTGGAATTTAGAAGGCACTTTCCCAATAAAACAATGTTGTATATTGTATTAATTTAAAATTTAATGCAACAAACGTTTACTAGACATATATTCTGTTTCAGATTCTGTGCTCGGCCTTGGGAATTAATGGTAAGCAAGAAAATTATTTTTTTCAAGTAATTCACGGTTTCATCATAGATACAAACAACAAAAAGATGGTGAGACCTTCCATGTTCTGTGCTAGCACTGAAGAGTGATCAATCGTATCTGTTTGGCAGATCAAGAGAGTCAAGAAAGGTTTATAGAGGAGATAATGCTAAAGCTGAGTCTAGAGGGATAAGTAGAGATTTTCCAGGCAAACACATAGAAAAGGGAATTATAGGTAGAAGGAACAGCACACACAAGGCATAAATGCATAAAATGGATATGTGAAACAACATAATTTATTTCAAAAACTGAAGAAGCATGAGGCTGGAAGTGGGCAGGAGTCAGCTTAAGAAAGGACGGGAATACCATTTTAAGAGAAAAAATTTCATACTTTCATCAATGGGAAGTCTTTGAATGTACCTGGACAGAGAAGTGGTGACTTATTCAAATCATTCTGGCAGAAGAATGAAATGTTGAAGGTCTGAACTGGATGAAAAGGGGAGATAGCAACGACACATGTTATGGAGATTGAAGCTGTAGGATTTAGTGATGAGTTATTAGACATCACACTTAGGCAAATTAAAGGAGAGAGAGAAATGCAGATTGCAATTCACTGCACCGAGAAATCCAGAAGAAGCAGTCTTCTAGTTTGGTGGAGAGAGAGTTGGAATGGAGAGAAAATGGAAGCAGAGAGAGAGAGTTCAATTTGGGACTTGTTAATGTTGAATTGCCTGTAGAATATTCAGGTGGTGAATCCCAGTAGGCAGTTATAAATATAGGTTTGAAGCTCAAGTAACAGAAATTATGGGATGTGAATTTCTTTCTGTTCAAATGTTCTGAATGTCAATAAAATGTCCAGAAAAGAAAAAAGTATAGAGCCAAGATTGGATCATAAATCACATTGAGTAGAATCTTCATTCTTATAGGCTTCAATTTCCCTAAATATGCTTCCTTTTATATGGGCAAAACCTGATCCAACATCCAAGTTTGTAAAGTGGATATTATTAGTTCATAATGCCAATATTTTAAAGGGAGAAGGGATACTCTGTGTTGTGTGTGTGTGTGTGTGTGTGTGCATGTGTTCAGAATCCTCTTTAAAATTTTAACAGTTGTTTTTAGTTATATCTGATGAAAGTAAGGAAAAAAGAATATTGATTCCTTTTATTTGTCTAGTTCTTAATGATACTCAAATGCCTTTCACATTCATTATCCACTGGATTTTTACAACACTCTTGTTGAGTTACATAAGGCAGAGATTGCTGTCAGTATTTCATTATTTCATATAGAAGAAAACTGAGGTTTAAAGAAGCTATGTGACTTTCTCAGGGTTAGTAAATAATATTATGCCTCTCCTACAGTAACCAACCATCCCAGTCTATCTGGGACCAGTGGAATTTTCAGAATACAGAACTTTCAGTTATAAAAGCAGAATAATTCAGAACAATCCAGTATGAATTGATTGCCATAATATCCTTCACCAAATAGACTTAAATTCAAATCTAATCTCTGATTTGTAACTTACTAGGAATTTTATCTTAGGTAAGTTTTTCAACCTCTCTCAGATTTTATTTGATCAATTAATAAAATTATGATAATATCTTTCTCACAATGTTATGATAGATTAACAAGATGATGGTTGTAAAGGTAGGGAACATGGAAGCTGGCCCAGATTAGGCACTCAATAATTAGAGGTTCCCTTTCTCTTATCAATGAACTGCTACTCTTCACTCCATATCAAGCTATCTCAAGCAAGCTTGCACATCTTGGGCATAGTTTCCTATTACCTAGAAACAACACGAAACATCTCCTGACTAGAGTGCTTTGTGAGAAAGTCTCCTATTGCTTTGGAATTAAGAAAGTACATATGCCTTGGCGCTGGCTGGAACCACATGTAGGCTACTGGGGGGGAGTGGGCTATTCTTTAGAACATATGAGAGTCCATTCATTATTTCTACCATGAATCTTTTATGTGGGTAGCAGTATGTTTACATAGCATACGAATGGATTTTCCAACCTTGTCTGCTGCTGCTTTTCAGAGCCCAGAGGACAAATAAGGGGATCTGAACACATGGGAGAATGAGCTGAATCAAAAAGTACGGGGAACACAGCAAGCAATTCTGGCCTTTCCCTACTGTTTCCCAAAAGGCGCAGCTCCAGCCTTCCCCCATCTTTTATTGTTCCCCTACCCTTACTTCTGGTAGTTTCTTTAACCTTTTTCCTTCCCCCTCAAAAGTTCTTACATTCTCTCTACTCCCTCATTTATTCTCTCTTCCACTCAGTCCAATTCAGTCTTCAAGACTTAAGTCAGTCTCTGCCTTCTCAAGGAAGTCTAATCCACACTCCAGTGTTGCTTACATCTTCCCCTGCTCAATGAAACTTTGAACACATCATCAGAACTCTAGAGGTACTTGTTAATAGTTTTCCCCTGTTAGTGATATGTTCTCAATGCAATGTTTGTAACCAGGGATTGTTCTTACCTTCTGTGTTCACCCCAACACCTGGCACTAAAGCAGATTTAACAATAGAGATTTGTGGGTTAATTGACCAAGGCCACTGCATAAAATTCTTCCTTGTGCCCACGCTATGTATACTTTACTCACCTGAGAAGCCCTTATACTAAGTGAATTGGTGTGTTTCACTTATGATCTCTCTCATTGCCCTAGACTTAGGCTAGAAGTTCTTGTCTTTAGGGCAGGGTCTGCACATATGCTATATATGGTCTGAGTAGTTCCAAAACTCTCTCCTGCTCTTCCTAAACTTGCTTCTTATTCTATGAAGCCCTTTTGTTTTATTCAGGAGGCCGAGAACAGTCACACAAGCACATCCCTAGATCTGGGAAACATTAAAATAATCTTATGTGGGAGACGTAATATTTTCTGTTTAAAACACTGGAGTCAAATAAACCCGAGGAGTTAAAATCCCAGATCTGCCTTATTAGATATGTGGATTTAGAAAAGTTCTTAATCTTTCTAAGTCCCTTTTCTCTCCTCTGTTAAATAGGGATAATAGTAACTTCCTCATAGTGTTATTGAGAATTGAGAGAGTTTTTACGTGCTAAGCACTTACTATAGGGCCTCATTTATAGCATCTGCTTAATACAATGTGAGATGTTATTTTTATTTATATTAATATTTAAATGGATTATAGTCACATCTTGACTAGGTAATAGGCTTAGATAAACATGATAAATTATACAGCACAGAGTATTGGGTACCTATTCAAGATGAAAGAAGCTCTGAGTAGAAGAGAAAGAGGAATAGAAAAGTTACCTGATGCAGGAAAAAAGACCTAAGTACTTGTGTGTCTGCATCCATCATCAGCTAGCTCTCAGAGTGAGACTAAAGTACTGTTCACAAGAAGAGGCTGAAAGGGAGTGACATAAAACACTGTTTGACAGTAGATAATTGCCATCTCCAGTTCTTCAGCTGGATTGCAGTATGCCATAAAGGGGGCTTTTTTTCCTTTGGTTCTATCAGTCTAGTAGTAAAGAAACAACCTTAATTAATACAAGGAGATGGTTAATTTGAAGAAACCAGTTTTCACGGCCTCATGCTACTGAGGTTATCCCACTTAATGTAGTACCTGAGACTTTTGCTACCCATCTTCTCCCTCCTATATCGAGTCCCATCTTTTTGGTTTCCATCATGAGAAAACTTCTGCTAGTTTCTTCGTCCAGCCAACAAAAGATTATTGTGCAACTACTACATGCCAGAATTACATGCTTGTACTTTGATTTTAACTAGAATTAGAACTGTGAAAAAGAGAGATATGGACTCTGCTTTCATAGAGTTTACCTTCAGGTAGAAGATGAAGAAATGAAAATGAAAAATTTTAAGCAAGTGAGTTAAGTGCTGTTAGCATGGAAGTATGGGTGCTATGGGAGAAGGAAGGGGAATCATCTATCCAATGTCGGGGAGGATGAAAAGATTGAGATAAAGAAAGTCTTCTTGAAACAATTGATACTTAATTTCAGATTAATTACAGATTAATTATTAATTACAGATTAGCCAGTGGTAAAAGACTGAGATCTGGACAGGAGAGGAGAGAGTGTTTAGGCTAAGAAACTAGTGTATGTGAAAGCCTAGAGGTAAAAAAAAAATCGTGGCACATAGAAGGAACTAAAAGTATTTTCATGTGACTGGGATAAAGAGTATGAAGAGGGCAGTGTCAACAGATGGGACTTGAGAGACAGGGGCCAGATTATATACGGACTTGTAGGCTACATTAGGAAGTTTGGAAGCTACATTTATAATAGTAAGGCATTGATGCATTTTAAGACAATCATTAGATTTCTGTTTTAGAAATATTCCTTCTGCTATATCATGTAGGATGAATTGGAAAAAGTCATAAGTGGAATCACAGAGACAAATCAGAAAGCTTCCAATGCAGTAATTAGGCAAGAGCCAGTGGCAATCTCAACTAAGGTGATTATTGTGGGCAAGTAAAAATAAATACATATTTGAGAGGTATTTAGAAGGTAGAATCAAAAGTATTTATTGACTGATTGGTTGTAAGGGATCAGAGAATGGAGTTAGGTTTTGGGCTTGAGCAATTGGTGAATGGAGATTCCATTATTTGAGGCAGCAAACACAGTTAATTTGCTAAAGGGATTTATAGTAACATTTGTATTTTTACAGGGGTTTCTTAGACACACTTCAAGGTGAGAGTATTAGGTAATAAGGAAGGTCATTGAGGGATTGTTTTTGAGATTGATTTTTGATCCAAGGGAATTCAAGCTCCTTTCATGTCACATGCAGTGGCACCTACAAGGCTGGACCTGTGTGTAAAACAATAAAGCTAATCATGAATCAGACCTATGTTTCTCAAACTGCATTCAGGTGAATTATGGAAATTCTGCATAGATACTTCAGAAGCTGCTGTGTATATCAGTGAGAGGGAGGCAGGGGATAAGGCCCACCACTACCTCAGTTTCATCCAGAGAATGTATCAATTTTATATACTGATTTTGCACATAAGATTTTATTTGCATAATTGCTCTGCTTCTAAAGTAAAACTTTTAAAACTGCTGGATAAGAACACTTAGTCTGTAAGCATGGCCATTCATTTCACCAATAGTTTCTTTTTTTAAAAATTTTTTATTTTATTTTATTTATTATTATTATACTTTAAGTTTTAGGGTACATGTGCACAATGTGCAGGTTAGTTACATATGTATACATGTGCCATGCTGGTGCGCTGCACCCACTAAGTCGTCATCTAGCATTAGGTATATCTCCCAATGCTATCCCTCCCCCCTCCCCCCACCCAACAGTCCCCAGAGTGTGATGTTCCCCTTCCTGTGTCCATGTGTTCTCATTGTTCAATTCCCACCTCTGAGTGAGAATATGCGGTGTTTGGTTTTTTGTTCTTGCGATAGTTTACTGAGAATGATGGTTTCCAATTTCATCCATGTCCCTACAAAGGACATGAACTCATCATTTTTTATGGCTGCATAGTATTCCATGGTGTATATGTGCCACATTTTCTTAATCCAGTCTATCACTGTTGGACATTTGGGTTGGTTCCAAGTCTTTGGCATTGTGAATAATGCCGCAATAAACATATGTGTGCATGTGTCTTTATAGCAGCATGATTTATAGTCCTTTGAGTATATACCCAGTAATGGGATGGCGGGGTCAAATGGTATTTCAAGTTCTAGATCCCTGAGGAATCGCCACACTGACTTCCACAATGGTTGAACTAGTTTACAGTCCCACCGACAGTGTAAAAGTGTTCCTATTTCTCCACATCCGCTCCAGCACCTATTGTTTCCCGACTTTTTAATGATTGCCATTCTAACTGGTGTGAGATGATATCTCATTGTGGTTTTGATTTGCATTTCTCTGATGGCCAGTGATGGTGAGCATTTTTTCATGTGTTTTTTGGCTGCATAGATGTCTTCTTTTGAGAAGTGTCTCTTCATGTCCTTTGCCCACTTTTTGATGGGGTTGTTTGTTTTTTTCTTGTAAATTTGTTTGAGTTCATTGTAGATTCTGGATATTAGCCCTTTGTCAGATGAGTAGGTTGCGAAAATTTTCTCCCATTTTGTAGGTTGCCTGTTCACTCTGATGGTAGTTTATTTTGCTGTGCAGAAGCTCTTTAGTTGAATTAGATCCCATTTGTCAATTTTGTCTTTTGTTGCCATTGCTTTTGGTGTTTTAGGCATGAAGTCCTTGCCCATGCCTATGTCCTGAATGGTAATGCCTAGGTTTTCTTCTAGGATTTTTATGGTTTTAGGTCTAACATTTAAGTCTTTAATCCATCTTGAATAGATTTTTGTATAAGGTGTAAGGAAGGGATCCAGTTTCAGCTTTCTACATCTGGCTAGCCAGTTTTCCCAGCACCATTTACTAAATAGGGAATCCTTTCCCCATTTCTTGTTTTTCTCAGGTTTGTCAAAGATCAGATAGTTGTAGATATGCAGCGTTATTTCTGAGGGCTCTGTTTCGTTCCATTGATCTATATCTCTGTTTTGGTACCAGTACCATGCTGTTTTGGTTACTTTAGCCTTGCAGTATAGTTTGAAGTCAGGTAGCGTGATGCCTCCAGCTTTGTTCTTTTGGCTTAGGATTGACTTGATGAAGCGGGCTCTTTTTTGGTGCCATATGAACTTTAAAGTAGTTTTTTCCAATTCTGTGAAGAAAGTCATTGGTAGCTTGATGGGGATGGCATTGAATCTATAAATTCCCTTGGGCAGTATGACCATTTTCACGATATTGATTCTTCCTACCCATGAGCATGGAATGTTCTTCCATTTGTTTGTATCCTCTTTTATTTCCTTGAGCAGTGGTTTGTAGTTCTCCTTGAAGAGGTCCTTCACATCCCTTGTAAGTTGGATTCCTAGGTATTTTATTGTCTTTGAAGCAATTGTGAATGGGAGTTCACTCATGATTTGGTTCTTTGTTTGACTGTTGTTGGTGTATAAGAATGCTTGTGATTTTTGTACATTGATTTTGTATCCTGAGACTTTGCTGAAATTGCTTATCAGCTTAAGGAGATTTTGGGCTGAGACAATGGGGTTTTCTAGATATAAGTTCTGGCCAGGGCAATCAGGCAGGAGAAGGAAATAAAGGGTATTCAATTAGGAAAAGAGGAAGTCAAATTGTCCCTATTTGCAGACACCAATAGTTTCTTAAAGCTACCATGTACCACTATGCTGAATTATGCTGTGGGAGTTTCAGTGATGAATCGCTTTCAATCCTGTCCTCAAAGAGGCTTTATAAGGCACATATATGAGAAGCCATATAATGCAAGGAATAAAGACTAAGTTTTATAAGAGAAATATGGCAAAAGTGCTCTGGAAGTCCTGATGAGAGAGTGAGAGAAAGAGGGAGGGAAGGAATGGGGGGGCGATGGGGGAGAGAGAGAAAGAGAGAAAGCTTTAGGTAGATGGTGACAATAGAGTTGTGTCATAAATAATAGCAGACTTTGGACATGCAGAAACAGCGATGGAGGGGTAGGCATGAGATTTGAGGCACAAGGAAGAGCCTAAGTAAAGCCATGGAAGGACAAGTTTGGAGAATGTGTGGAAAGTATTGAATACTTTAGTTTAGATTAGGTAGTGTACAGGATGAGAAGGAGCAGTGTGAGTCAAGATTGAAAAGTGGTTTGGGACCAGGTTGTGAAGGCCCTTAGTTGCCAGGCTAAGGTCCTTGGGTGTAGAAGGCCATTGAATGCTTTTGAGCAGGACATTGGTATTGACTAGAGAGATTATTTTCATCAGGTCTGATTAAACTGAGTTCATGATAAGCCACTGATTATGCACCTTATAAAATGGAAAAGATTACTGTGTGCACAAGCCATAATGTCATCCTGCCTTTGCATGCTGGTGTGGTCTAATAAAAATCCTTCCCTGAAAGAAACATTTGCTTTGTAGTCCCACACAAACCCAGGCATGTCATATTGATTTCCATAAAGTTGTTGTCATAGAAATGCATAATGGTTGTGTCTTTTTTTTCTAGGATTGAGTGGTAGGAGATGACACAGGTAGAAAAACCTGATTTAGGAAATGAGAGAAAATAGCAACAATCTACTAGCAATTAGGAAATTTTAAAAAGACATGAAGATTTCCATTCAGTTAACTTTTGACATGTCCTCCAAAGTATTCCTCCAGGAATTGGTCACACTGGCACAGATCCCAAAAGGGTAATTAACACACCTGCATTTCACAAAGAAAATGTGCCAAGTGTTTCTTACTGCTTGAGCCATATAGTTCTTACTGCTCGAGCCATATAGTTCATACTGCTTAAGCCATATAGTTCCTGTCACCCAGGCTGGAGTGCAGTGGCACTGTCTCGGCTCACTGCAACCTCTGCCTCCTGGGTTCAAGCGATTCTGCTGCCTCAGCCTCCCGAGTAGCTGGGATTACAGGCACCCACCACCACGCCCAGGTAATTTTTGTAGTTTTAGTAGAGATGGGGTTTCACCATGTTGGTCAGGCTGGTCTTGAAATTCTGACATCAAGTGAACCACCCGCCTCGGCCCCCCAAAGTGCTGGGATTACAGGCGTGACCCACCATGCCTGGCTGAGCCATATAGTTCTAATTGAGTCTTCTTGGGCTGGCTTGAGATTTACTTTGACATACATAATAAATTACTATACAGGTAAAAATTATGAAGAATATCTTTTTATATTTCCAGCCATTGCACAGTCCTCTTTTTGCTGAGTATGCAAACTCAGAGTTCCACTTAATCAAAAAATGAGTGTGTGAGAGCCTGCTCTTTGTAAGTTGGGTATACCAAGAGGCTCTGTGATTCTCTAATGTAATGCTGATTTGTTGTGGTTGTCTAGTGTATTCCTCCTTTGTTGTGGTGTCTTCTGGGCACCTGGGCCTAGTCCTTTCTCTTTGATAGTTAAACTTTTTTAATTATTTTTTTGGGGAAAACTGATGCCATTCGCTATAAGCTTATTCACTGACCTACTTTTCAATGGATGGTCACTTTTTAAATTACCCTAGTACTTTCCCTTTTTCTTCTATCTGTATTCCTCCTCTTTCAGCATAATCTATTGAGCTGAATCTTTAATCACATCCTATACTTGATTCTACCCCTCTCCTTAACACAAACCTCTTGGCCTCTACTCTTTGCACATGCTCAACATCCTGAAAAAAATTCACTTTTTTTTACTTCCCTCTTCCTTCTGGCTAGCTCCCTTCATTATTTTTAGAGCTCTATTGAGGTACAATGAATATACAAATAATTGCACATATTTAAATGTATACAACTTGATAATTTGGAACATATTCATACACCTGTGATATCATCACCACAATCAATGTATTAAATACATTCATCACCTCCAAATATTTTCTTGTGCTCCTTTGCTTGTTTGCTGTCTTCATTCTTTCATTGCCAAAATACTCATTGTTTCCATTTACTCACTCTTCCAAAATACTTATTGCTTCCATTTTCTCAATGCCCACGTAGTAATCATAGCTAATATTTAGTGAATGCTTTACATAATTTAACTTATTAATCTTCACAATAAGTCCATGTGGTAGGTACTATTTATTATTACCCTATTGAAATGATTTGGCTCGGTGTTCCTACCCAAATCTCATGTTGAATTGTAATCCCCACATGTTGAAGGAGTTTCCAGGTGGGAGGCGACATCATGGGGTCATACTTCCTCCTTGCTGTTCTCATGATAGAGTTCTCACGAGATCTGGTTGTTCGGAAGCGTGTAGCGCTTCCCCGTTCATTCTCTCTCTCCCTGCTCTGCCATGGTAAAGATGTACTTGCTTCCTCTTCGTCTTTTAAAATGATGTAAGTTTCCTGAGGCCTCTCAGCCATGCTTCCTTTTCAGGCTACAGAACCGTGAGTCAATTAAACCTCTTTTGTTAATTAATTACCCAGTCTCAGGTAGTTCTGTATAGCAGTGTGAGAATAGACTAATACACCTATAAATTTTATAAATGAAGAAACATAGTCATGAAGAGGTCAAACAACTTGTTCAAAGTCACACAAACAGTAAGAGGTAGAACCAGGATTACAATCCAAGCAGTCTGGCTCCAGAGTTGATGCTCTTTACAACTATGCTGTACTGTCTCCCAGTAACACTTTTGGAGATCAGTAACCTTTCAGTCCAGTCCAATAGTGTCTATTTAGTGCATCTATATCTGTTCTTTTCCTGTGACACCACACTATTTGGATTTCCCTTTTACTTTTATTATTGCTCTTCCTTGATATTTTATGTAAGTTCCACTTTCTATTTCCCTACCTTCAGTTTAAAACACTTTGTCTTCAATTCTAATAATTTCCTGCTTTGAATGACATATCAACTTTCACAGTTTGATTATCATCTACTTGGATAAATCTCAAATTGCTGTCTCTTGCCTTATATAGACAAGCAAGTCTAATTGTTGCAAAGAATGTTAAGCATCATTTGTAACAACCACTGCGAACTAGGAAGATCCTGCTATTATCGCAAAACAGCATTTCATAAAATTTCACTAATCACTTTTCCCCCATGTCTCTAACTAACTTCTTCCTCATGACTTCCCTGTTTTGGAAATGGTGACTTCATTCATCAAAATTCAAAAACTTGAAATGATTCTCCAACTATTCTTTTTGGACTCCCTCATACTGTTAGTAAATAAAATAAACACTTAAAATATTTACTGGATATCTACTATGTGCCAGCTCTGTGCTAGGCACAGTTGATATAATCACTGACAAGTTTCCTGCTTTCATAAAACTTCTTAAAATCATTTTAACATATCTTGCCTCACTTCTTACTGAAACCCATTTACAAGCCAAAATAATTGTAAGGCTAGATGTATTCTATACCTTCAAAAATGATAGTAATTAGTACTGTCATTTATGTAGGTTAGAGGGAGCAGAAGTAAAGTCATTGGGTGTAAACTATTGGGAAGACAGGCTTTTGTCAAGGAATGTAGATTAATTTTTTAACATAGATACTTTACAGTGGAATAATTTTGAACTAGTGAACATGCTTACTGTAAGTATGTAAGCACTGACTAGATTCATTCATTCATGTAACAGATATTTATTATATGCCTACTGTTTACCAAGCTCTGTGTCAGACTGTGGGTATACACAAGTGAATACGATAAAAAGTTATTGTGTTCATGGAGCTTATCTTCGCAAAAAGGTGACCTTGTTTTAGTCAGGGAAGTAGTAAATATGATTCTAGCACTTGTTGGAAGACTGGACTAGATAATGCTAAACTCCATTCTAACTATCATAGTTTATAATTCTGACATCTCTCTGTCCCTAATTACTTCTCCTTACCATATATACTCTGAATTACTACCAGAAAATGTTTCTCAATACAGCCTTGATAATATTACTTTCTAAATCAAGTGACTCTGATAACTTTCTACTGACAAAAAAATCTCACTTTAGCCTGTCCATAAAGGCTGTCAGTTATTTCATCCCACTTTCTTTCCCACCCTTTTTTTATTATTATCCTCTAAAAACTGTAAATTTTAGCAAGGTGGCCTGTCAAATGCACCTTGGAAAGGCTACAACACATAAATAGGTCCATTCATCTTTCATTAATTCGATTAATCCATTCTTTACAAATATTAATATAGCACTTAATTGAGTGCAATCATTGATCTAGATACTAGAACTGTGAATAAAATTAACAAAACGCTGTCTTACTCTGTTTTGTGTTGCTATAACAGAGTACTTGAGGTTGGGTGATTTATAAAGAAAAAATAATATTTAGATCGTGGTCTTCAGGCTGGGAAGTTCAAGAAACATAGTGCTGGCATCCACTTGGCCTCTGGTGAGGGCATTCATGCTGCATAAAATTATGGTGGAAAGTCAAAGAGAAGCAGGCATGTAGGAAGAGCAAAACCTGAAAAGCATCCTGGCTTTGCCACAACCCAATTTCATGAGACCTAATCCACTCCTGAGAGGATTAATCTAGGATCATCAGAGCAAGAATGAACTTACTACTGTCAGAATAGCACTAAGCCATTTATGAGATATCTGGCCCTGTGACCCAAACACCTGGTGGTGGTAGTAGTGGCCACAGGGAGAGGCTCCTCTGCCTATGGAAAGGGGAGGAAAGAGTAGGAAGGACTTTGTATTGTGGTTTGAGTGCCAACTTAGTGACTGTAGAATAGAACATCAGGCAAATTTCTAAGGTTTTTGAACCCAATCCCCAGCTCCCAGACAGTATCTCTGGATGCTCCTAGGACCTGGGGGAAATCACTGCCCTGATTTGTGGGCAGTGATTTTTGGGAAGGACACAAACCTGGCAGGCTTTGAAGCCAGCTTATCATAGAGTCCTAGGGCCTTGAGTGAACATAGGTTGTAACCAAGTACTAGTTACAATTGGCCTTGGACGAGACCTAGCAGTCTGCTGGCTTCAGGTCTGACCTAGTATTGTCCAGGTGGTGGTGGTCACAGGGGTGTTTGCATCACCTCACCCCACGTTGAAAGCAGCTCAGCACAAAGAAAGAGACTCCATTTCTTTGTGAGAAAGCAAAGGAAAAGAACAAGAATATCTGCTTGATAATCCAGAGAATCCTTCCAGATCTTATCCAAGACCACATGGTGTTACTTCTATGAGTCTGCAAAAATCACAGGGTTGTTGGGCTTGGGGACCAAGTCAATTTCAATACCTGGAAAGCCTTCTCAAGAAGAGCAGGAACAAAGAAGCACAGCCTGTGAAGACTAAAATAAATACCTAACTCTTCAATGCCCAGACACTGAGAAACATCAATAAGATTCAAAGAATCATCCAGGAAAATACTATCTAACAAAAATGAACTAAATAATACACCAGGGACAAATCCTGGAGAAACAGAGGTATGTGAGATTTCAGAAAGATAATTCAAAATAGTTGTTTTGAGGAAACTCAAAGAAATTAAAGATAACACAGAGAGGAACTCAGAATTCTATCAGATAAATTTAACAAAGAGATTGAAGTAATTAAAAATAATCAAGCAGAAATTCTACACTTGAAAAATCCAATTGATATACTGAAGAGTGCATCAGAGTCTCTTAATAAAACTGATCAAGCAGAAGAAAGAATTTGTGAGCTTGAAGACAAGCTATTTGAAAATACAAAATCAGAGGAGACAAAAGAAAAAAAATAACCTAGTGATACATCTTAAAGAACTAGAAAAGCAAGAGTAAAGAGAACCCAAATTTAGTAGAAGAAAATAAATAATAGGTATCAGAGCAAAAATAAGTAAAATTGTAATGAAGGAAACAATAAAAAGATCAATGAAACAGGGTCACTTGTTTGAAAAGATAAGCAAAGTTAAAAATCATTTAGTCAATCTAGTAAAAAGAAAAGGTAGAATATCCAAATATATTAAATCAGACATAAAAAAGAAGACATTACAACTGATGCTACTGAAATTATAAGGATCACTAGTGGCCACTATGAGCATCTATATGCCAATAAATTGGAAAATCTAGAGTAAATTGATGAATTCCTAGATGAATACAACTTACCAAGATGGAACCACGAAGAAATCCAAAACCTGAACAGACCAATAACAAGTAACAAGATTGAAGCTGTAATTAGTCTCCCAGTAAATAAAAGCCTGGAACCCAATGACTTCACTGCTGAATTCTACCAAACGTTTAAAAAAGAACTAATACTAACCTTACCCAAACTATTCCAAACAGCAGGAGAGGAGGAAATATTTTCAAACTATATTCTATGAAACCAGTATTACCCTGATGCCAAAACCAGACAAAGTCACTTCAAAAGGAAAGAAAACTACAGGCCAATATCTCTGATGAATATTGATGCAAAAAATTCTCATCTAAATACTAGCAAACCAAATTCAATAATACATAAGAAAGATCATACATCATGACCAAGTGGGATTTTTCCCAGGGTTGCATGGATGGTTCAACATATGTAAATCAATCAATGTGACACATCATATGAACATTCTGAAGGAAAAAAAAAAACACATTACCCTTTCAATTGATGCTGAAAGAGCATTTGATAAAAGCCAATATCCCTTAAGGATAAAAACACTCAAAAACTGGGTATAGAAGGAACATGCCTCAACATAATAAAAGACATATATAAAAAATCCACAGCTAGTATCATGCTTAATGGGGAAAACCTGAAAGTCTTTCTTCTAAGATCTGCAAGAAGACAAGGGTATTCATTTTCACCACTGTTATTTACATAATATTGGAAATCCTAGATAGAGCAATCGGATAAGAGAAAAATATAAAATGCCTCTAAATTGGAAAGGAAGAAGTCAAATTATTCTTGTTTGTAAATGACATGATCTTATTATGTTTGGAAAAACGTAAAGACTACAACAAAATCTATTAGAACTGATAAACAAATTTTGTAAACTTGCAGGTACAAAATCAACATACAAAAATTAGTATCATTTCTATATGCCAACAGTGAATAATCTGAAAAAGAAATAAAAGAAGTAATTGTATTGACAATAGCCAAAAATAAAATAAAATACCTAGGAATTAATGAAAGAAGGGAAAGATCTCTATAATGAAAACTATGTAACACTGATGCAAGAAATTGAAGAGGGCACCAAAAATGTAAATATATTTTGTGTTCATGGATTGGAAGAATAAATACTGTTAAAATGTCCATACAACCCAAAGCAATCTACAGATTCAATACAATTCCTATCAATCAAAATACCAATGACATTCTTCATAGAAATAAAAATTTAAAAATCTTGAAATTTATATAGAATCACAAACAACCAGAATGGCCAAAGTTTTCCTGAGCAATAAGAAAAAAATTACCATTTTCCACAGAATTAGAAAAAAAAAATCCTAAAATTCATATGGAAACAAAAAAGAGCCTGAATAGCCAAAGCAATCTTAAGCAAAAAGAACAAAGCTGAAGGCATCACATTAGCTGACTTCAATCAATACTACAAGCCTATTGCTACCAAAACAACATGGTACTGGTAAAAATATAGACACACAGATCAATGGAACAGAATAGAGAATCCAGAAATAAAGCCACACACCTACAACCAACTGATCTTTGACAAAGCTGATGAAAATAAGCAATGGGCCCGGTGTGGTGGCTCACCCTGCAATCCAGCACTTTGGGAGGCTGAGGTGGGTGGATCATCTGAGGTCAGGAGTTTGAGACCAGCCTGGCCAACATGGAAAAACACTGTCTCTACTAAAAATACAAAAATTAGCTGGACATGGTGGCAGCCACCTATAATTCCAGCTACTCAGGAGGCTGAGGAAGGAGAATCACTTGAACCTGGGAGGCAGAGGTTGCAGTGAGCCTAGATAGCACCACTGCATTCTAGCCTGGGCCACAAGAGTGAAACTTGGTCTCAAAACAAAACAAAACAAACAAACAAAAAATGAAAACAAGCAAGAGTCACCTTATTCAATAAATGGTGCTGAGCAAGCTGGCTAGCCATATGTAGAAGAATGAAGCTAACACCTATCTCTCATCATATACAAAAATTAACACAGAATGCAAGGCACACTCTTGTGGGAATACAAATTACTTCAACCCCTATGGAAAACAGTATGGAAATTTGTCACAGAACTAAAAATAGAACTACCATTTGACCTGGCACTCCCACTACTGGATATTTACCAAAAGGAATATAAATCATTTAATCAAAAAGACAATTGCACTTGCATGTTTATTGCAGCACTATTCACAGTAGCAAAGCCATGGAATCAACCTAGGTGTCTATCAAGTATGATTAGATAAAGAAAATGTGATATGTATACACAATGGAATACCATGGAGTCTTAAAAGGAATGAAAGTATGTCATTTGCTTTGCATTTCTCTGATAGTCAGAGATGGTGAACATTTTTTCATGTGTTTTTTGGCTGCATAGATGTCTTCTTTTGAGAAGTGTCTGTTCATATCCTTCGCCCACTTTTTGATGGGGTTGTTTGTTTTTTCCTTGTAAATTTGTTTGAGTTCATTGTAGATTCTGGATATTAGCCCTTTGTCAGATGAGTAGGTTGTGAAAATTTTCTCCCATTTTGTAGGTTGCTTGTTCACTCTGATGGTAGTTTCTTTTGCTGTGCAGAAGCTCTTTAGTTGAATTAGATCCCATTTGTCAATTTTGGCTTTTGTTGCCATTGCTTTTGGTGTTTTAGACATGAAGTCCTTGCCCATGCCTATGTCCTGAATGGTAATGCCTAGGTTTTTTCTAGGGTTTTTATGGTTTTAGGTCTAATGTTTAAGTCTTTAATCCGTCTTGAATTAATTTTTATATAAGGTGTAAGGAAGGGATCCTGTTTCAGCTTTCTACATCTGGCTAGGCAGTTTTCCCAGCACCATTTATTAAATAGGGAATCCTTTCCCCATTGCTTGTTTTTCTCAGGTTTGTCAAAGATTAGATAGTTGTAGATATGCAGCATTATTTCTGAGGGCTCTGTTCTGTTCCATTGATCTATATCTCTGTTTTGGTACCAGTACCATGCTGTTTTGGTTACTGTAGCCTTGCACTATAGTTTGAAGTCAGGTAGCATGATGCCTCCAGCTCTGTTCTTTTGGCTTAGGATTGACTTGGCAATGCGGGCTCTTTTTTGGTTCCATATGAACTTTAAAGTAGTTTTTTCCAATTCTGTGAAGAAAGTCATTGGTAGCTTGATGGGGATGGCATTGAATCTGTAAATTACCTTGGGCAGTATGGCCATTTTCATGATATTGATTCTTCCTACCCATGAGCATGGAATGTTCTTCCATTTGTTTGTATCCTCTTTTATTTCCTTGAGCAGTGGTTTGTAGTTCTCCTTGAAGAGGTTCTTCACGTCCCTTGTCAGTTGGATTCCTAGGTATTTTATTCTCTTTGAAGCAATTGCGAATGGGAGTTCACTCATGATTTGGCTCTCTGTTTGTCTCTTGTTGGTGTATAAGAATGCTTGTGATTTTTGTACATTGATTTTGTATCCTGAGACTTTGCTGAAGTTGCTTATCAGCTTAAGGAGATTTTGGGCTGAGACAATGGGGTTTTCTAGATATACAATCATGTCATCTGAAAACAGGGACAATTTGACTTCCTCTTTTCCTAATTGAATACCCTTTATTTCCTTCTCCTGCCTAATTGCCTTGGCCAGAACTTCCAACACTATGTTGAATAAGAGTGGTGAGAGAGGGAATCCCTGTCTTGTGCCAGTTTGAAAAGGGAATGCTTCCAGTTTTTGCCCATTCAGTATGATATTGGCTGTGGGTTTATCATAGATAGCGCTTATTATTTTGAGATATGTCCTATCAATACCTAATTTATTGAGAAGTCACTTTCAGGTACACCAATCAGATGTAGATTTGGTCTTTTCACAAAGTCCCATATTTCTTGGAGGCTTTGTTCGTTTCTTTTTATTCTTTTTTCTCTAAACTTCCCTTCTCGCTTCATTTCATTCATTTCATCTTCCATCACTGATACCCTTTCTTCCAGTTGATCGCATCGGCTCCTGAGGCTTCTGCATTCTTCATGTAGTTCTCAAGCCTTGGCTTTCAGCTCCATCAGCTCCTTTAAGCACTTCTCTGTATTGGTTATTCTAGTTATATATTCGTCTAAATTTTTTTCAAAGTTTTCAACTTCTTTGCCTTTGGTTTGAATTTCCTCCTGTAGCTCGGAGTAGTTTGATCGTCTGAAGCCTTCTTCTCTCAACTCGTCAAAGTCATTTTCCGTCCAGCTTTGTTCTGTTGCTGGTGAGGAGCTGCATTCCTTTGGAGGAGGAGAGGCGCTCTGCTTTTTAGAGTTGCCAGTTTTTCTGCTCTGTTTTTTCCCCATCTTTGTGGTTTTATCTACTTTTGGTCTTTGATGATGGTGATGTACAGATGGGTTTTTGGTGTGGATGTCCTTTCTGTTTGTTAGTTTTCCTTCTAACAGACAGGACCCACAGCTGCAGGTCTGTTGGAGTTTGCTAGAGGTCCACTCTAGACCCTGTTTGCCTGGGTACCAGCAGCAGTGGCTGCAGAACAGCGGATTTTCGTGAACCGTGAATGCTGCTGTCTGATCGTTCCTCTGGAAGTTTTGTCTCAGAGGAGTACCCAGCCGTGTGAGGTGTCAGTCTGCCCCTACTGGAGGGTGCCTCCCAGTTAGGCTGCTCGGGGGTCAGGGGTCAGGGACCCATTTGAGGAGGCAGTCTATCTGTTCTCAGATCTCCAGCTGTGTGCTGGGAGAACCACTGCTCTCTTCAAAGCTCTCAGACAGGGACATTTAAGTCTGCAGAGGTTACCATCTCACACCAGTTAGAATGGCAGTCATTAAAAAGTCAGGAAACAACAGGTGTTGGAGAGGATGTGGAGAAATAGGAACACTTTTACACTGTTGGTGGGACTGTAAACTAGTTCAACCATTGTGGAAGTCAGTGTGGCAATTACTCAGGGATCTAGAACTAGAAATACCATTTGACCCAGCCATCCCATTACTGGGTATATACTCAAAGGACTATAAATCATGCTGCTATAAAGACACATGCACACATATGTTTATTGCGGCATTATTCACAATGCCAAAGACTTGGAACCAACCCAAATGTCCAACAGTGATAGACTGGATTAAGAAAATGTGGCACATATACACCATGGAATACTATGCAGCCATAAAAAATGATGAGTTCATGTCCTTTGTAGGGACATGGATGAAATTGGAAATCATCATTCTCAGTAAACTATCGCAAGAACAAAAACCAAACACTGCATATTCTCACTCAGAGGTGGGAATTGAACAATGAGAACACATGGACACAGGAAGGGGAACATCACACTCTGAGGACTGTTGTGGGGTGGGGGGAGTGGGGAGGGATAGCTTTAGGAGATATACCTAATGCTAAATGACGAGTTAATGGGTGCAGCACACCAACCTGGCACATGTATACATATGTAACTAACCTGCACATTGTGCACATGTACCCTAAAACTTAAAGTATAATAATAATTAAAAAAAAGAAAGTATGTCATTTGCCTCAACATGGATGGAGCTGGATGCCATTATGCTACATGAAATAAGTCAGAAAGAGAAAATCAAACACTACATTTTCTTACTTACAATTGGAAGCTGAACAATGAATACACATGAACACAAAGATGAAAATAAGAAACACTGGAGACTCCAAAAAAGGGTAGGTAGGAAGTGGTTGAGGGTCAAAAAACTATCTGTTGGGTACTATGTTCACTACTTCGGTGACAGATCCACTAAAAACCCAAACCTTACCATTATGCAATATACTCATGTAACAAACCTACACATGTGCTCCCAAACCTAAAATTTAAAGAAAGTACCCTTAGATTTGAAGTTAGCCTCAAGTTTTTGTCCTCATCTCATTTTACACGAGGTACAGAATAAGGACGAGCAAAATTCCTCAGGATCCTTGAGGCAGCCTGGCTACCCCAGGATCCTCACTACTTCCTGGAATACCTTTTGGTCTTCCAGGTCACAGTTAAAATTAATGTATGTTTCTAAGTCACTCTCTGTCCTATGAGAATAAAGAATCATTGTACTGCAATGCAATACACCTTATGTATTAAAGTATGAGCTAAGGGACCTGTGTCTTGTCCCGGTGCTGTCACTAACTGGATGTATAATTTGGACAAGCTCTTTCATCTTTGTGGGTTCTCCATCTTTAAAATAAATGGCCTGGACAAAATAATCCTTCCAGGTAATTTTCAACTTGACATTGAAAGATTCTGGTAAGATGGATCAGTTATTGAATCTGCCTTGGCTTGGCATCATTTTGTATCAGTTACCCATGGTGAAAAAATTCCTGAATCTGTAGGAATGACTTGCTATGTTTTTATGGATTAAGCGTTTTTTTCATTCTATTTGAAGGTATGTTGGCTCTTTTGGGTAAAAATTCAGAGTATGAAGTTAATGAGGCCAAGTTGCAATTGTCATTTACCGTATGGGCAAATTAGTTTTGTTTGTTTCCTGGTCACAGTCTCTACCCTATTAATCTTCCCCTCTTTCCTCCAGCCATTTCAGCGATACAAGTTTCAAGGCAAGACTCAGCATGAATGTCCACGGATTAGTACTGATCATTCTCAAGACTGAGAAAAGCACTCCAGTAACATTTGAGCAGCAGCATTTTTTGGCAGATGAGGGTAGCATAATCATAATTAATGGAGGCCACCATGAGTTCTGGAGGTGACTCTCTGTATTATATCAGCCTTTAAGTGCATGACAAGAACAGTCAGTTAAACATCAGCCAGAGAAATGATTGAAATGCCTCTGCCTTGTCCATTGGAGGTAGTACCTCTTACAACTATGGGCCAAATTAAGGCCAAGAAAAGTAAAGATGACAGAATTATTTGTGGTGAAAGCCATCTGGGTTTTGTTTCTAGTTTCGAGCACAAAACATAATATTCCCAGGCATTTGGAATGGATATGCCAGATGCTTGGGATTCTTTTTTTTTTTTAAGGTTTTCATGTAAAATAGTTGAATTGGGGTGAGGAATGGAATCTTCATTATTCTTTGCTGTGATGTGTTTGTTTGCCTAAGAGGGAAAATCTAGCACACGTTGGATACTGCCTCATCTTCAGTGACATTACAGTACAAACAAATGATTCTCAAGTGTGACCAGTTAGCTGGCTAAAGTCATCAGAGCCTCATTATGGCTGTGGCTTATTTCTTAGCCTTGGAAAAGATGCCTTGTCTGGGGTACTCTATACAGCTAAAGCTTAGATATGAGTAGTGGTGTTTCAAGCAGTTGAGCTTTCAAACAAAGACTCATCCAAAGCATGAACATTGGAAAGAAAGAGTGGGAGAAGCAAATGAGGATTAATAAAGGCATCAGAACAACAGCAGACACCGCAAGGGAGTAGAAAAGCTAAGTCTAGGAATATCATAGAGAATATACCTGTTCAACATGGAAAATGTGGATAGATAGCCTATAAGTTTAGGAAGTGAAGAGATTAGAAATCAAGCATATGTAGGTTTGAATTCTGGCCCTCTCACTTATTGACTACATAAACTTGGGGAAGACACTTAACTATACTGAAGCTGTTTCCTCATCTTTGAAATGGGGATAGTAATAGTAATAATCTCACAAATGTTAGTCCCTTCTTGTTTCAACTCTAGATGTTTAGGATTTTAAGCAGATTTTTTCCAAATTTCTTCCCTCCTTCTCTAGGCCTATAATGGAGATCACACTACACACATACCAGACATAAACATTTAAGATAGGGAGTACATGAACTGACTCTTATTCCAAATGAGCTGTACAAGACATCTGCTCCTTTTTCCTAAGAGCAGGATTCAATGGGAGGCAGAAAGTGAGAGAAGGGGACATACCTATGGAGCAGTAATTAAACACAAGCACTGTAACAGATTATTTATGTATATTACTTCATCAAGACACCAATCTTTACTAAGTAAACAATATAATGCCTGTGCTAAAGAGTAGAAAGTGGAGGTTCAGATGATTAATTTGCCTACATCCAATGAGCTAGAGATCTAGAGAATGTCAGCAATGAGATTAAAACCTAGGCCTGGGTGACTTCAAATCCTGAGCTCTTTTCATATAAGTCAGTGGATCCTGAAAACAAACTTGTGAGGTAGGAAGATGAAGGTTATTATTTTCATTTTTCTGCTTCTATTTTTGGGGGAGGAAAATGGAACCCAGAGAAGTTTAGTGACTGGATTATTGTATGTCAAAATCAAAACTAGAATCTTGGGTGCTTCCTTCTATTGTTCACCTTCTTTACATTAATTTTCTCCCCTTCCCATTATATGGGCAATGTTTGCAAAGCATCAAGCATGGAACGCATGGCTCTGCTCTTCATGATGGGTGCTCAAGCAGATGTCAGGAAAAACATTTTGTGGAGGGTGATAAAATTATATCAAGCTGAAAAAATGCTCTTAGAAATCCCTACCTTAAGACTTTGAGCTGTGATTATTCACCTTTTTTAAGTAATGCTCTTCTACAAGCATATGATCAAAGCGGTGGATTCTCCCTAGATAAAATACACATGTACAGCATTCTACAAATTATTTCAGGTTTTGGGGGGTGTTTTATTTTTTTTGAGACAAGGCCTCACTATGTCACCCATCTGGAGTGTAGTGCCACTATCTCGGCTCACTGCAACTTCTGTCTCCCAGGCTCAAACAGTACTCCCACTTCAGCCAACCAAGTAGCTGGAACTATAGGTGAATGCCACCACACTCAACTAATTTTAATTTTTGCTTTTAATTGAGACGGGGCTTCCCTATATTGCCCAGGCTGGTCTTGAACTCCTGGGCTCAAGCAAAGTCTTAAGATAGGGATTCCAAGCAATCCACCTGCTTCAGCCTCCCAAAGTGTTGGGGTTACAGGCATGAGCCACAGCACCCAGCCAACTTCAGGGTTTTTTAGACTTGAGAAAGGAAGATAAGTTAAGAGAACCACAAAGATGTGTTGTCTAAAGCAACTTACTGACTTATGAAGCTATCTTGGAGTCATTTTGCCCTAAGTGATCTTCCTTTCCCCTAATCACCTAAAATTTTTAGCATCCTCACTTAGATTAGCATTGGTGAAACATATTGTGTAGAAGAAGTTTCAGGTCTTAGATTTAAGTCCTTGATCCATCTTGAGTTGATTTTTATATAAGGTGAGAGATGAGGATCCAGTTTCATTCTCCTACATGTGGCTAGTCAATTATCCTAGCATCATTTGTTGAAAAGGGTGTCTTTCCCCCACTTTATGTTTTTGTTTGCTTTCTCAAAGATCAGTTGGCTGTAAGTATTTAGGTTTATTTCTGGGTTCTCTATTCTGTTCCATTGGTCTATGTGCCTATTTTTATGCCAGTGCCATGCTGTTTTGGAGACTATGGCCATGTAATATAGTTTGAAATCAGGTAATGTGATGCCTCCAGGTTTGTTCTTTTTGCTTAGTCTTGCTTTGGCTATGCAAATGGCTAACAAATTATGAAAAAATACTCAACATCTCTAATGATAAGGGAAATGCAAATCAAAACCACAATGCAATACCACCTTACTCCTGCAAGAATGACCATAATCAAAAAATTTAATAAAATAGATGTTGGCATGGATGCGGTGAACAGAGAACACTTCTGTACTCCTGGCAGGAGTGTAAACTAGTACAAGCACTATGGAAAACAGTGTGGATATTCTTTATAAAACTAACAAACTAAATGTAGAACTACCATTTGATCTAGCAATCCCACTACTGGGTATCTACCCAGAGAAAAATAAGTCATTATACAAAAACGATAATTGCACATGCATGTTTATAGCAGCACAATTTGCAATTGCAAAGACGTGGAACCAAACCAAATGCCCATCAATCAATGAGTGGATAAACAAACTGTGATATATGTTATTTTATATATATATATATATATATATGCCATTGATTCATTCCTTTTTATGGCTGAGTATTATTCCATTATATAAATATCTATATATATCTATATATACACATATACATATATATAGCAGCACAATTTGAATATATACACATATATACATATATATACATATATACATATATACATATACACATATATACATATATACATATAAATATAAATATTATAGCAGCACAATTTGAAATCGTTTCAGCTTTAGAATCTTTGGGGATAATATTTTCATTGTTGTTATGAGTTGAGCTTTCCCCTCCCACTCTGTGCTACAGTCATACAAAATTGCTTATAGTTGTCCACTCACATCAGGCTGTTTTACACCTCTGTGCAAGGAAGTAAGAATTCATATTACAAACTGAGGAACAATTAAAACTCATTTTCTATGGAGGAAATTATTTCTTTCCTTTCAGAAGGGTTCTGAGCCATTACTTTAGTTCAAATACATACTCACACTGAGCAAGTGTATTGCGCTCAGTTAGGCTGCAGGCTAATGATGTCAGGGAATACAACGATTATTTTGATAATGGCTCTACCCAGGAGGCACTCAAAGTCCTGTAAGGAAGCCAAAAAATGTTAAGATGTGATAAATAATTTTTAAATGAGACCTGAAACTATAAAAATTCTAGAAGATAACATTCATTAGAAAAGCCCTTCTAGACATTGAGTTAAGCAAGAATTTCATGACCAAGAACCCAAAAGCAAATGCAATAAAAGCAAAGATAAATAGCAGGGACATAATTAAACTAGAAAGTTTTGCATGGGAAAAGGAACAGTCAGCAGAGTCAACAGACAACCCACAGAGTGGGAGAAAATCTTCACAATCTATACATCTGACCATGGACTAATATCCAGAATCTACAATGAAGTCAAACAAATCAGCAAGAAAAAAACCAAACAATCTTATCAAAATTGGGCTAAGGAAATGAATAGACAATTCTCTAAAGAAGTTGCCTTGTAAAGAGTAGAATAGGCCTCATTTGGGCCCAACCAGGTTATACTACACTGGTAGTATTTATGAAAAGAGCAAGTTCGCATGGATTTGAAATACAAAAGATCCACAGAATTGACAGAACTTGGTCACTAACTTTATCGGAGAGGTGAAGGAATAGAAGAGGTTGAGCATACTTCAGGTTTTTGGTTTGGGTTAGTGTTGGCCATTTATTAAGATCTGCAATATAGGAGAAAAGCCAGGCTTCTTAAAGGATAGCAAAGATCACCTGTGCTGTTTTGGATTTGTTGAGTTTCAAAATTCTTATGGGACTGTTAGATATAAAAATACAGCCCTGGAATACAAGGGGGAGAGCTATACATGTACGGAAGGCTTGGGTCATAATGCCAAAAAATACAATCCCAAATATCATAATACCAAATGTTGAAATACTGACAGATTAAAATCCCTAAAACTAAATCTCTAATGTCTAAAATACTTCATGCCTAAAATCCCAAAAATCACAATCAGAGGAATCATAGAATTTCAGGAAAAGCAACACCACATAGAAAGTAAACGTGAAGGTATTCTCTGAGAATCATGTTCTAAAAGAACAAAAGCAGCTATTTATTGTGATGCAAGACTTCAAAATAGTTAATGGTGAAAGTCAGCCATCTCTTATGGACTATCTCCATGTAATTGTCCATAATCTATCCCTGTAACACATTTTTCACCTATTGAATTTTCTTTTTAGTTTTTTTCACTATTTTAAATTGACAGCATTTAAAAAAATAATTTGCTATGCTACATATTTTATCTTTGCATCTTTTGCAATACTGGATGTATACATTTTATAAAGACTTTTATCAACTTCAAATTCATGTTATGCATATGTTTGCAAATTTGACTCCATCAAAGTGTATTATCACAATGTTGACTTCGTTTGTAAGTTTTGTGCATATATGTAAAAAACATTGAAACTTCCTCAATAAATGAAGAGCTGTCCTTTTATTTCCATCTGCATTTGTGAAAGAAAACAGTTTTCAAGATCTTGTCTCTTTGGGTAACTGCATGTGTGGTGGTGACCTATGTCAGTTTTTCATTGATCTTATCAAAAGACTTAGGTGAGGGGAAGGTTCAAGATGATCTAATAGAAAAAGCTCCAATCTGCAGCTCCTACCAAGAAGAATTAAAATGGCAAATGAATTCTGCATCTTCAACTGAGGTACACGGGTTCTCTCATTGGATGTGACTAGGTAGTTGTCACAACCCTAGGAGAGTAAGAAAAAGCACGGGGAGCCAGGGCTCACCTGGGATCTGCAAGGGGCAAAGGGAGCTCTCTCTCCCCAGCCAAGGGAGGTGGTGAGTGATTGTGCTACCCACCTGGTAAACCACACTTTTCCCATGGATCTTTGCAACCCGCAGATCAGGAGGTACCCTCATGAACCCACACCACCAAGGCCTTGGGTCCCAAGCAAAGAGCTGTGCACTCGTGGCGGCCACTTGAGTGGGCAACCACTTGAGCAGGCACTGAGACACAGAAGTTTTTGCATACTCTAGTTATGGAAACCCTGGCGAGGCAGGAAATCCATCCATTCCCATAAAAATGAGGCTGGGCCGGGCGTGGTGGCTCACGCCTGTAATCTCAGCACTTTGGAAGGCCGAGGTGGGCGGATCATGAGTTCAGGAGATCGAGACCATCCTGGCCAACATGGTGAAACCCCATCTCTACTAAAAATACAAAAAGCTGGCCGGGCGTGGTGGCAGGCGCCTGTAGTCCCAGCTACTCGGGGGGCTGAGGCAGGAGAATGGCATGAACCCGGGAGGCGGAGCTTGCAGTGAGCCTAGATTGCGCCACTGCACTCCAGCCTAGGCGACAGAGCGAGACTCCGTCTCAAAAAAAAAAAAAAAAAAAAAAATGAGGCTGAAGCCACGGAGCCAAGCAGCATCATTCAGCGGGCCCCACTTCCACAGAACCCCACAAGCTAAAACCCCTGGCTTTTAATCCCCACTGGCCAGTGCAGCAGGCTGGAAACTGCCTAAGACAATCGAGTTCCCAAGGGAGTGGTGGCCACAACCACTGTGGCTGCAGCTGGCAGTTTCCCACTGCAGGTGCCCACGAGACTGGGTGGTTTGAACTGGAAGCAATTTTCCACAGTGTGGCTGTGACAGATCGTGGCCAGACTGCTTCTTTAGGTGGGACCCCAACCCATCCTTCTTCACTGGGGGGGCCTCGCTGTGGGATTTTCAGCATCCCCAGGGGTTTACAGGCAGAACTCTGATCTTCTTGGGAGGAGGCCATAGGGAGAGGGGAGGCCACAGTATTATGGATCAGCAGTCTTAGTCTTTTCTGCCTCTCATTTCTGGTGGGTCTGGGTGCCTGGAGGAAGGGATTTCCCCAGTGCAGCAAACCCACTCTGCTAAGGGGCAGTAAGACTGCTTATTTAAGTCCCTGATCCCCTTCCTCCTGACTGGATGATACCTCCCAACAGGGGTCTCCAGACACCTCATACAGGAGCGTTCCGGTTGGCATCAGGTTGGTGCCCTTCTTGGGTGGAGTTCCTAGAAGAAGGAGCAGGCAGACACATTTTCTGTTCTGCAGCCTCCACTGGTGACACCTCTGGGTGTTGGAGGAAACCAGGTAAATAGAGTCCAGAGTGGGCCCCCAGAAAACCATAGCAGCCCTACAGAAGAAGGGCCTGACTGTTAAAAGAAAAACAAACAGAAAGCAACAACAACAACATCAATAAAAAAGACCACACAAAACCCCATCCATAGGTCAACATCCTCAAAGATCAAAGGTAGATAAACCCATGAAGATGAGAATTAGTGCAAAAATGCTGAAAACTAAAAAAGCCAGAGCCCTTCCTCTCCTCCAAATGATCACAACAAATTTCTAGCAATGGCACAGAACTTGGCTGAGGCTCAGGTGGATGAATTGACAGAATGAGGTAGGTTTCAGAAGGTGGGTAACAATGAATTTGGCTGAGCTAAAGGAGTATGTTCTAACCCAATGCAAAGAAGATAAGAACTATAATAAAACATTACAGGAGCTGTTAACTAGAATAACCAGTTTAGAGAGAACCATAAATGACGTGATGGAGCTGAAAAAGACAACATGAGAACTTCACAATGCAAACCCAAGTATCAATAGCTGAATAGAGAAAGTGAAGAAAAGAATATTAGAGCTCGAAGACTATCTTGCTGAAATAAGGCAGGCAGACAAGATTAGAGAAAAAAATAAAAGGAATAAAAAAAAACTTTGAAAAATATGGGATGTTGTAAAAAAGACCGAACCTATGACTGATTGGGGTACCTGAAAGAGGTGGAGAGAATAGAATCAAGATGGAAAACAAACTTCAGAATATCATCCAGGAGAACTTCCCAACCTAGCAAGACAGGCCAACATTCAAATTCAGGAAATCTAGAGGACCCCAGTAAGATACTGCATGAGAAATAACCATCAAATTCTCCAAGATAAATAACCATCAAATTCTTCAAGGTCAAAATGAAGGAAAAAAATGTTAAGGGCAATCAGAGAGAAATGCCAGGTCACCTACAAAGGGAAGCCCATCAGACTAACAGCAGACCTCTCAGCAGAAATCCTACAAGCCAGAAGGGATTGGGGGCCAATATTCAACATTCTTAAAGAAAATAATTTTGAACCCAGAATTTCATATCTGGCCAAACTAAGCTTCATGAACAAAGGATAAATAGATCCTTTTCAGACAAGCAAATGCTGAGGAAATTCATCAACACCAGGCCTGTCTTGCAGGAGCTCCTGAAGGAAGCACTAAATATGGAAAGGAAAAGCAACTACCAGCCACTACAAAAACACACTGAAGTACACAGACCAATGACACTATGATGCAACTACATAACCAAGTCTGCAAAATAACCAACTAGCATCATAATGACAGGATCAAATTCACACATAACAATATTAACCTTAAATGTAAATGAGCTAAATGCCCCAATCAAAAGAAACAGAATGACAATATGGATACAGTGTCAAGACCCATTAATATGCTGTATTAAAGAGACCCATCTCATGTGCAAAGAAACACATGGACACAAAATAAAGGGATAGAGGAGAATTTGCCAACCAAATGGAAAACAGAAAAAACACAGGGGTTGCAATCCTAGTTTTTGAAAAAACAGACTTTAAGCAAACAAAGATAAAAAAAAAGACAAAGAAGGACATCACATAATGGCCCAGGGGTCAATTCAACAAGAAGAGTTAACTATCCTAAATTTATATGAACCCAATACAGGAGCACCCGGATGCATAAAACAAGTTATAAGAGAGCTACATAGAGACTTAGACTCCCACACAATAATAGTGGAAGACTTTAACACCCCACTTTCTTTATGAGACTGATCACCGAGAGAAAATTAACAAAGATATTTGGGACTTGAGCTCAGCTCTGGATCAAGTGGACCTGAAAAATATCTACAGAACTCTTCACCCCAAAACAACAGAATATACATTCTTCTTGGTGCCACATGGCACTTAATCTAAAATTGATCACATAATTGGAAGTAAAACACTCAGCAAACGCAAAAGAACTGAATAAATAACAAACAGTCTCTCAGACCATGGCACAATTAAATTAGAGCTCGAGATTAAGAAACTCACTTAAAACCACAGAACTACATGAAAATTGAACCAACCTTTTTCTGAATGACTCCTGGGTAAATAATGAAATTAAGAGAGAAATCAAGAAGTTGTTTGAGACCAATAAGAACAAAGAGACAACGAACCAGATTCTCTGAGACACAGCTAAAGCAGTGTTAAGAGGGAAATTTATAGCACTAAATGCCCACATCAAAAAACTAGAAAGATTTCAAATCCACATCCTAACATAACACCTAAAGTAATAGAGAACTAAAAGCAAACAAACCCCCAAAATAGGAGAAGACAAGAAATAACCAAGCTCAGAGCAGAACTGAAGGAGGTAGAGACACGAAAAACCCTTCAACAAATCAACAAATGCAGGAGCATTTTTTTTGAAAAAAAAATTAACAAAATACACATACTGCTAGCTAGACTAATAAAGAAGAAAAGAAAGAAGAATCAAATAGACACAATAAAAAATGATAAAGAGGATATCACCACTGACCACACAAAAATACAAACAACCATCAGATAATATATAAACACCTCTGTGCACATAAACTACAAAACCTACAACAGAAGGATAAATTCCTGGACACATACATGCTTCCAAGAGTGAAACAACAAGAATTTGAATCCCTGACTAGAAAAAGAGCAAGTTCTGAAATTGAGGCAGTAGTAACTAGCCTACCAACCAAAAAATGCACAGGACTGGATGGATTTACAGCTGAATTTTGCCAGAGGTACAAACAGGAGCTGGTACCATTTCTTCTAAAACTATTCCAAACAATTGAAAGGGAGGGACTCCTCCCTAACTCATCTTATGAGGCCAGCATCATCTTGATGCAAAAACGTGACAGAGATACAACAGAAAAAGAATACTTCAGATCAATATCTCTGATGAAAATTAATGCAACAAATTTTCAATAAAAAACTGGCAAACTGAATCCAGCAGCACATCAAAAAGCTTATCCACCACGATCAAGTTGGCTTCATGCCCAGGATGCAAGGATGGTTCAACATAGGCAAATCAATAAACATAATCCATCACATAAATAGATCTGAAGACAAAAACCATATGATTTTCTCAATAGATGCAGAAAAGGCCTTTGAAAAATTCAAACTTTCTTTATGTTACAAACTCTCAATAAACTAGGTATTGAAGGAACACACCTTAAAATAACAAGAGACATTTATGACAAACTTACAGCCAATATTATACTAAAGGGGCATAAGATGAAAGTATTCTGTTTGAAAGCCAGCACAAGACAAGGATACCCTCTCTCATCACTTCTATTCAACATACTATTGCAAGTTCTGGCCGGGGCAATCAGTCAAGAGAAAGAAATAGAGGGTATTCAAATAAGAAGAGAGGAAGTCAAAGTGTCTTTTCAGATGACATAATCCTATATCTAACAAACCCCATCACCTAAGCCTAAAAACTGCTTAAGCTGATAAGCAACTTCAGCAAAGTCTCAGAATAGAAAATCATTGTGCAAAAATTACAAGCATTCCTATACACCAACAACAGACAAGCAGAAAGCCAAATCATAAATGAGCTCCCATTCACAATTGCTACAAAGAGAATAAAATACCTACGAATACAGCTAATAAGGGAAGCAAAGGACCTCTTATAGGAGAACTACAAACAACTGCTCAAGAAAACCAGAGAGGACACAAACAAATGTAAAAATATTCCATGCTCATGGATAGGAAGAATCAATATCATGAAAATGGCTATATTGCCCAAAGTAATTTGTAGATTCAATGCTATTCCCATTAAACTACCATTGACATTTTTCACAGAAATAGAAAAAATATATTTTAAAATTCATATGGAACCCAAAAAGAGCTAGTATAGCCAAGGCAGTCCTAAGCAAAAAGAACAAAGCTGGAAGCATCATGCTACCTGACTTCAAACTACACTACAATGCTACAGTAACAAAAACAGCATGGTACTAGCACAAAAACAGCCATGTAGACCAGTCGAACAGAATAGAGATCTCAGAAATAAGACTGCACATCTACAGCCATCTGATCTTTGACAAACCTGACAAAAACAAGCAATGGGGAAAGGATTCTCTGTTTAATAAATGGTGCTAGGAGAACTGGCTAGCTATATGCAGAAAATTAAAATGGGACACTTTACTTACACCTTATACAAAAAGCAACTCAAGATGGATTAAAAACCTAAATGTAAAACCCAAAACTATAAGAACCCTCGAAGAAAATCTAGGCAATACCATTCAGGACATAGGCACGGGAAAATATTTCATGATGAAATCGCCAAAAGCAATTGCAACAAAAGCAAAAATGGAAACTAAGTAAACTATAGAGCTTCTGCACAGGGAAAATAAATAAATAAATAAATAAACTATTATCAGTGTGAACAGGTCACCTACAGAGTGTGAGAAAATTTTTACAATCTGTCCATCTGACAAAGGTCTAGTATCCAAAATCTACAAAAAACTTAAACAAATTTACAAAAAAACCCAAACAACCCCATTAGAAAGTGGGCAAAGAACATGAACAGACACTTCTCAAAAGAAGACATTCATGTGCCCAAAAAACATATGAAAAAAAGCTCAACATCTTGGATTATTAGAGAAATGCAAATCAAAACCACAAGGAGATACAATCTCAAGCCAGTCAGAGTGGTAATTATTTAAAAATCAGGAAACAACAGATTCTGGAGAGGTTGCAGAGAAATAGGAACACTTTTACACTGTTGGTGAGAATGTAAATTAGTTCATTGTAGAAGAGAGAGTGGTGATTCCTCAAAGGTCTAGAATCACACATATAATTTGAACCAGAATCCCAGTACTGGTTATATACCTAAAGGAATATAAATCATTCTATTATAGAAATACAGTCACACGTATGCTCATCGTAGCACTATTCACAAGAGCAAAGACATGGACTCAACCCAAATGCTCAATAATGTTAGACTGGATAAAGAAAATGTGTTGCATATACTCCTTGGAATACTCTGCAGCCATATAAAAGAACAAGATCATGTGCTTTGCAGGGACATGGATGGAGCTGGAAACCATTATCTTCAGCAAACTAACACAGGAACAGAAAACCAAACACCACATGTTCTCACTTATAATTGGGAGCTAAACTTTGAGAACGCATAGACACAGGGAGGGGAACAACACACACTGGGACCTCTCAGGATCAAGGTGCAGGGGGAGGGAGAGTGTTAGGAAAAATAGCTAATACATTCTTGGCTTAATACCTAGGTGATGGGTTGATAGGTGTAGCAAAACACCATGGCACACGTTTACCTATATAACAAACCTGCATATGCTGTACATGTATCCTAGAACTTAAAAATGAAATAAAAAGACTTAGGTTATACATCAGAGTATTTCAGATGATGGCAGTTATAAAATTGAGTGCAAACAATTACCAACTATAATAATAAAAATTTATATATTTCAATTTTGACTCTATTTTTAATCCAGTTTATCTTATTATAACTGTTATACCTGTGCAACTGTCATTATACCTGAGTGTTTATACTTGTACAAATATGTATATTAATATTGCCTATTTACTTGTGTAAAATATCCCATGAAGTGTTCTGTCATGTTTTAATGTTTCTCAAATAAATATGCTTTTAAAAAGGTAAATAATTTTATCAAAGGCCTTTTCTGCATCTATTGAGATAATCATGTGGTTTTTGTCATTGGTTTTGTTTATATGATGGATTATGTTCATTGATTTGCATCTGTTAAATCAGCCTTGCATTCCAGGGATGAAGCCGACTTGATCGTGGTGGATAAGCTTTTTGATGTGCTGCTGGATTCTACTTGCCAGTATTTTATTGAGGATTTTTGCATTGATGGTCATCAGGGATATGGGCCTGAATTTTTTTTTTGTTGTGTCTCTGCCAGGTTTTGGTATCGGGATAATGCTGGCCTCATAAAATGAGTTAGGGAGGAGTCCCTCTTTTTCTGTTGTTTGGAGTAGTTTCAAAAATAATGGTACCAGCTCCTCTTTGTACCTCTGGTAGAATTCGGCTGTGAATCTTTCTGGTCCTGGGCTTTTTTTTTTTTTTTTTTTTTTTTGGTTGGTAAGCTATTAATTACTTCCTGAATTTCAGAACTCTTTATTGGCTTATTCAGGGATTGGACTTCTTCCTGGTTTAGTCTTGGGAGGGTGTTATGTGTCCAGTAATTTATCCATTTCTTCCAGATTTTTTAGTTTATTGGCATAGATGTGTTTATAGTATTCTCTGATGGTAGTTTCTATTTCTGTGCGATCAGTGGTGATATCCCCTTTATTATTTTTGTTGTGTCTATTTGATCCTTCTCTATTTCTTCTTTATTATTCTGGCTAGCATTCTATCTGTTTTGTTAATCTTTTCAAAAAACCAGCCCTGGATTCATTGATTTTTTTGAAGGGCTTTTCATGTCTCTGTCTCCTTCATTTCTGCTCTGATATTAGTTATTTCTTGTATTCTGCTAGCTTTTGAAATTGTTGGCTCTTGCTTCTCTAGTTCTTTTAATTGTGATAGTAGGGTGTCGATTTTAGATCTTTCCAACTTTCTCCTGTGGGCATTTAGTGCTATAAATTTCCCTGTAAACACTGTTTTAACTGTGTCCCAGAGATTCTGGTAAGTTGCATCTTTGTTCTCATTGGTTTCAAATAACTTACTTATTTTTACCTTAATTTTGTTATTTACCCAGTAGTCATTCAGGAGCAGGTTGTTCAGTTTCCATGTAGTTGTGTGATTTTGAGTGAGTTTCTTAATGCTGAGTTCTAATTTAATTGCACTGTGGTCTGAGAGACTGTTTGTTATAATTTCCACTCATTTGCATTTGCTGAGGAGTGTTTTACTTCCAATTATGTGGTCAATTTTAGAATAAGTGCAATGTGGTGCTGAAAGGAACATATATTCTGTTGATTTGGGGTGGAGAATTCCGTAAATGTCTATTAGGTACACTTGGTCCAGAGCTGAGTTCAAGTCCTGAATATCCTTGTTAATTTTCTGTCTTGTTGATCTGTCTAATAGTGACAGTGCAGTGTTAAAGTGTCCCACTATTATTGTTTGGGAGTCTAAGTCTTTTTGTATGTCTCTAAGAGCTTGCATTATGTATCTGGGTGCTCCTTTATTGGGTGCACATATATTTAGCATAGTTAGCTCTTCTTGTTGCATTAATCCCTTTACCATTATGTAATGCCCTTCTTTGTCATTTTTGATCTTTGTTGGCTTAAAGTCTGTTCTATCAGAGACTAGGATTGCAACCCCGGGTTTTTTTGTTTTTGTTGTTTTGTTTTTGGGGTTTTCTTTGCTTTTCATTTGTATTGTAAATATTTTTCCATCCCTTTATTTTAAGCCAATGGTTGTCTTTGCATGTGAGATGGGTCCCCTGAATGCAGCACATTAATGCGTCTTAACTCTTTATCCAGTTTGCCAGACTATGTCTTTTAATTGGGGCACTTACCACAATTACATTTAAGGTTTATATTGTTATGTGTGAATTTGATTATGATGCTAGCTGGTTATTTTTCCTGTTAGATGATGCGGTATCTTAATAGTGTTGATGGTGTTTACAATTTGGTATATTTTTGCAGCATCTGGTACCAGTTTTCTTTTCCATATTTAGTGCTTCCTTCAGGAGCTCTTGTAAGGCAGGTCTGGTGGTCACCAAGTCTCTCAGCATTTGCTTGTCCATAAAGGATTTTATTTCTCCTTCACTTATGAAGCTTAGTTTGGCTGTATATGAAAATTCAACACCCCTTTATGCTAAAAAATCTCAATAAAATAGGAATTAATGGAACTTATCTCAAAATAGTAAGAGCTATTTATGACAAAGCCACAGCCAATATCATACTGAATGGGCAAAAGCTGGAAGCATTCCCTTTGAAAACTGGCACACGACAAGAATGCCCTCTCTCACCACTCCCATTCAACATAATATTGGAAGTTCTGGCCACAGCAGTCAGACAAGAGAAAGAAATAAAGGGTATTCAAATAGGAAGAGAGGAAGTCAGAGTGTCCCTGTTTGCAGATGACATGATTGTATCTTTAGAAAACCCCGTCATCTCAGCCCAAAAATTCCTTTAGCTGCTAAGCAACTTTAGCAAAGTCTCAGGATGCAAAATCAATGTGCAAAAATCACAAGCATTCTTCTACACCAATAGTAGACAGAAAGCCAAATCATGAGTGAACTCCCATTCACAATTGCTACAAAGAGAATAAATACCTAGGAATAAAACTTACAAGTGATGTTAATGACCTCTTCAAGGAGAACTACAAACCACCGCTCAAGGAAATAAGAGAGACACAAACAAATGGAAAAACATTCCATGCTCATGTATAGGAAGGATCAGTATTGTGAAAATGGCCATACTGCCCCAAGTAATGTATACATTGAATGGTATTCCCATCAAGCTACCATTGACTTTCTTCACAGAGTTAGAAAAAACTACTTCAAATATCATATGGAACCAAAAAAGAGCCCATATAGCCAAGACAATTCTAAGCAAAAAGAACAAAGCTGGAGGCATCACACTACCTGACTTCAAACTATACTACAAGGCTACAGTAACCAAAACAACATGGTAGTGGTACCAAAACAGAGATATAGACCAATGGAACAGAACAGAGGCCTCAGAAATAATGCCACACATCTATACCATCTGATCTTTGACAAACCGGACAAAAACAAGCAATAGGGAAAGGATTCCCTATTTAATAAATCATGTTGGGAAAACTGGCTAGCCATATGCAGAAAACTGAAACTGGACCCCTTTCTTATACCTTATACAAAAATTAACTCAAGATGGATTAAAGACTTAAACTTAAGATCTAAAACCATAAAAATCCTAGAAGAAAACCTAGGCAATACCATTCAGGACATAGGCATGGGCAAAGACTTCATGACCAAAACACCAAAAGCTATGGCAACAAAAGCCAAAATTGACAAATGGGATCTAATTAAACTAAAGAGCTTCTGCACAGCAAAATAAAATACAATAAGAGGGAACAGGCAACCTACAGAATGGGAGAGAAATTTTCCAATCTATCCACCTGACAAAGGGCTAACATCCAGAATCTACAAAGAACTTAAACCAATTTACAAGAAAAAAACAAACAGCCCCATCAAAAAGTGGGCAAAGGATATGAACAGACACTTCTCAAAAGAAGACATTTATGCAGCCAGGAAACATATGAAAAAAAGGTCATCATCACTGGTCATTGGAGAAATACAAATCAAAACCACAATGAGATACCATCTCACGCCAGTTAGAATGGCAATCTTTAAAAAGTCAGGAAATGACAGATGCTGGAGAGGGTGTGGAGAAATAGGAACGCTCGTACACTGTTGGTGGGAGTATAAATTAGTTCAACCATTGTGGGAGACACTGTGGTGATTCCTCAAGCATCTAGAACCAGAAATACCATTTGACCCAGCCATCCCATTACTGGGTATATACCCGAAGGATTATAAATCATTCTACTATAAAGACACATGCACACGTATGTTTATTGCAGCATTGTTCACAATAGCAAAGAGTTGGAACCAACCCAAATGCCCATCAATGATAGACCAGATAAAGAAAATGTGGCACATATACACATATACACCATGGAAAACTATGCAGCCATGAAAAAGGATGAGTTCATCTCCTTTGCAGGGACATGGATGAGGCTGGAAACCATCATTCTCAGGAAACTAACGCAGGAACAGAAAACCAAACACTGCATGTTCTCTCTCATAAGTGGGAGTTGAACAATGAGAACACATGGACAGGGGGAGGGGAATATGACACACCGGGGCCTGTCAGGGGGTGGGGGGCTATGGGACAGATAGCATTAGGAGAAATACCTAATGTAGATGACGGGTTGATGGGTACAGCAAACCACCATGGCATGTGTATACCTATGTAACAAACCTGCACGTTCTGCACATGTATCCCAGAACTTAAATTATACAACAAAAGGTAAATAAATGGCTTTTAAATAACTTTAAAAATTGCTTTCTCCAGGATCATAATTTCAGGATTTTGATGTTTTGGGATTTCAGCATTCAAGATTATGGCATTTGTGATTGTATCTTTTAGGATTATGATTGGATCCTTTATATAAAAATGATCAGCATAGAGGAGTTAGTGGAGCCCATGAATATAAATTAGGAATAGTGATGGTGATGATGGTGATGACGATGATGATGTTGATGATGATGATGATGATAGTAACAATAAAAACTAGTATTCTTTTAGTATCTACTATTATATATGCCAGACGCTATGTAATTTATTTCTCACTTCACCCTGATGAGATGAAATGATTTGTCCAGGGTAATAAAATTGGTTAATGGTGGAACTTATATTTTAATTTAGGACTTGTTGATTTTAGAAATTAAGAGAACACAGAGAATGGAATGCTAGAGAATGTTGCCATTTGAGAGACTGACACAGAAAAAAACTAAAGGATACAGAGAGAAAACAGGCAGAGAGTTAGGAACAAACTTTGACAAAATGTCTGATGGAAATTAAGGAAGTGCAGGACTTTAAGAAGGAACAGTAGATATTAGATAACTTTGGTAGTATAGAATAGTGGTTATTGGCACAGAATCTGAACCCTAGAGTCTAGTGTTGCAACACAACTTTGCTATTTATTAGCTGTGTGATCTCAACCAGGGTACTTGTCCTCTCTGTGCATCCCTTTCTAATCTAGAAAATAATGATAAGAATAGTTGATTACCTCACAAGGTACCTTGAGTTGACTACCTCACAAGAAAAGGAATTGGGTTAGCTGGAGAAGAAAGTGAAGAGCTGAGTGTGGGTGAGGGAAAACAGAGGGGCTGAGAGACTAAAGAGAATAAAATGGTTGAAGAACATGGATAAGGAACTGACTGGGTGCTGGCACTAACTAGCTTGTGACTTTGGACAGGTCACCTCCCTAATGAGGCCCCAGTTTTTTTGTTTTTTGTTTTTTTCATTTTAAAAATGAAGATGCTGTAAGATGTGATCTGTGTACAATCTTTGTCCGATTCTGGATTCTACTTTTCCTTCTTTCATTGCACTGCCACCTAGTGTGTATAAAGTATATAGAAGAGACGCTATAAGAAAGAAATGCAAAAGAATCGGTGTTACCCTCTATTGCCTCGTCTTCACCCATCTGATGTCAGAAGCAACAAATAATATCAGTGGACTTAGAAGACCAAAGTGATGGAAGAGTCGTGGATGAATGGAGCCTGGGACCTGAATCATTACTAAAAGATGAACTGCTTAGAAATGTCACTTAATAAAAAACATTCTGTTGGACTGTTGCATGAGTAAGAAATACACTTTTGTATTAAAATACTGAAAAAAAGGTGGGGGGAGGGCAGGCGCGGTGGCTCACACCTGTAATCCCAGCACTTTGGGAGGCCAAGGCGGGTGGATCACCTGAGGTCGGGAGTTCAAGACCAGCCTGACCAACCTGAAGAAACCCTGTTTCTACTAAAAATACAAAATTGGCCAGGCGTGGTGGTGCATGCCTGTAATCCTAGCTACTTGGGAGGCTGAGGCAGGAGAATCCCTTGAACCTGGGAGGCGGAGGTTGTAGTGAGCCGAGATCGTGCCATTGCACTCCAGCCTGGGCAACAAGAGTGAACTCTGACCCAGAAAAAAAAAAAAAAGAGTCATTTTAAGAAAATAAAAACCATGAGCAAGTATGTTTACGGAAGAGTGAGGATACACCTGGATGAATTATATCTGAGACTGTTGAATATTTGCTTGCCTTTTTCTCTCAGAAATATTTTTCTTTTCATGACTCACCTCTCCCATTTTTCCCAGATACCATTTCTACTTAGAGGCAGTCTCACTTAGTGTCTGGCTCTTAGAGAGAAATAATTTCAGATACTTTCAGAGTTTCAAAAAAAAATCAATAGCCTTTTTAAGTTCCAAATAAACGAATGTCTAATGGAGAAATTTAAGATGATACTAATATTGGTAGAGTATGTATATTTGACCGATAACGTCTCTTCAAATTATCTTCTTCCACAGTGGATGGTAGTTAGTCCAAATATACTGGCAAGGGGGAGCAAGTGTGAACCAGTTGGAAAAGGTGAAGCAAGCAAAGGAAATGAGAACAAGGCATCAAAAATGCATTTTTTAACAAATAGAAACATAATTTCATTGAATGAGCAAAATTTGGTGCAATAAGGAAGTTTATAAGACTTTGGGTCTTCTCATATTTATATCCAGTATTATAAGCACATACCTCAATTTACTGCACTTCGCTTAATTGTGCCTTGTAGATATTGCTTTTTTTTTTTTTTTTTCCAAATTGAAGGTTTGTGGCAGTCCTGTGACCAGCAAGTTTATCAGCACCATTTTTCCAACAGCAGGTGCTCACTTCATGTCTTTGTGTTACCTTTTGGTAATTGTTACATTTTCATTATTTTTATATAATTAAACTCTTTCATTTTTTTTTGTCTATTATGGTAATCTGTGATCAGTGATCTTTGAAGTTAATACTTTAATTGTTTGGGGACACCATGAACTGCACCCGCATAGCACACGTGAACTTAATTGATAAATGTTGTATGTGTTCTGACTGCTCCACTGACTGACCATTTCAACAGCTCTCCTCCCTCTCCTTGGGATGCAACAATACTGAAATTAGGCCAATTAATAATCCTACACAAACCTCTAAATGTTCAAGTGAAGGGAAATGTTGTATGTCTCTCTTTTTAAATAAAAAGCTATAAATAATTAAGCTTAGTAAAGAAAGCATATTGAAAACTGAGGCTAAAAGTCCTCTTGTGTCAGACAGCCTAATTGTGAGTGGAAAGGAAAACTTCTTAAGGAATGTTAAAATTGCTACTCCACTGAACACACAAATATCAGGGAAGTAAAACAACTTATTGCTGATATGAAGAAAGTTTTAGTGATCTGGATAGGTCAAACCAGCCATAACATTCCCTTAAGGCAAAGCCTAATTCAGAGGAAGATCCTAATTCTCTTCAATCCTGTGAAGACTGAGAGAGGTGAGAAAGCTGTAAAAGTTTGAAGCTAGCACAGGTTCATGAGGTTTAAAGAGCCATAATATAAAAGTACAAGGTGAAGCAGTAAGTGCTGAGGTAGAAGTTTAAGCAAGTCATTGATAATATTTATCTATAATATTTCATCAATATTTAAGATAATGGGTGAAGTTAGCTACAATAAACAACAAATGTTCAAGGTAGATGAAACAGCCTTATACTGGCAAAAGATGCCATGTAGAACTTTCATAGCTAAAGAGAAGAAGTCACCACCTGGCTTTTAATCTTCATAGGCTAGGCTGACACTCTTTTTAGGAGCTAATGAAGCTGGTGACTAAGTTGAAGCCAGTGCCTACTTACAATTCTGAAAATCACAGGGTCCTTAAGAATTTTGCTAAATCTATTCTGCCTGTGCTCTATCAATGGAAAAACAAAGCTTGGATGACAGCATGTCTGTTTACAGAGTAGTTTACTCAATATTTTAACCCCACTTTTGAGAACTACTTCTCAGAAATAAAAACTATTTATTTCACAATGTTACTGCGTATTGATGATACATTAAGTGATCCAAGAGCTTTCATGGAGATGTACAAGAAGATTAATACTGTTTTCATGCCTGGTAACACAACATCTATTCTGCAGCCCATGCATCAAGGAGTAATTATGACTTTAACGTCTTATCATGTAAGAACTACATTGTGTAAAGGTATAGATGTAATAGCCTTGCAAAATCCAATGATTCCTCGGATGGATCAGGCAAAGTCAATAGAAAACCTTCTAGAAAAAGAATCACTATTCCAAGTGCTATTAAAAACATTTGTGATTCATGGGAGAAGGTAAAATTATCAAAATTAACAGAGCTTTGAAAGAAGTTAATTCTAATGCTCATGGATGACTTTGAAGCGTTCAAGAATTCAGTGGAAAAGGAACTGCAGATGTGGTGGAAATACCAAGAGAACTGGAATTAGAAGTGGAGCCTGAAGATAGGCCTGAATTACTGCAATCTCATAATAAAACTTGAATGGATGAGGAGTTGCTTCTTATGAATGAGCAAAGAAAGTGTTCTTTTGAGATAGAATGTACTCCTGGTGAAGATGCTGTGACAATAGTTTAAATGACAACAAAGGCTTGAGGATATTCCATAAACTCAGTTGATAAAGCAGCAGCAGGGTTTGAGAGGATTGACTCAAATTTTGAAAGAAGTTCTACTGTGGGTAAAATGCTATCAAACAGCATTGCATGCTACAGAGAAATCTTTGTGAAAGAAATAGTCAATTAATTCCGCAAACTTCATTGTTGTCTTATTTTAAGAAATTGCAACAGCCACCTCGGCCTTTAGCAACCACTACCCTGGTCAGTCGGTAGCCATCAACATTAAGTCAAGAACCTTTAACAGCAAAAATATTACAACTTGCTGAAGGCATAGATAATCATTAACCATTTTTAGCAATAAATAATTTTTACATTAAGATATATACATCATTTTTTAGACAAAATGCTATTGCAAACCTAGCAGACTACAGTGTCATGGAAACTTAACTTTTATATGTATTGAAAGATTAAAAAAAATTATTGTGATTCACTTTATTGCAATACTCACTACACTGTGGTTGTCTGAAACCAATTCTGCAATATCTCCAAGGTATGCCTGCATTAACACAAGGAAAAGGCAACCTATGAAATGGGATAAAATATTTGCAAAACTTTTGTCTAATTAGGGGTTAATATGGAACACATATAAGAAACTCCTACAACTCAATGATAAAAACCCAAATAACCCAACGAAAAAATGGGCAAATGACTTTAATAGACATTTCTCCAAAAAAGACACAAATGGACAACAGGTGTTTGGAAAGGTTCTTTATATCACTAATCATCAGGAAAATGCAAATCAAAACCACAATGATGTATTATTTCACACCTGTCAGTATGGCTATTTAAAAATACAAAAGAGTGTTGGTGAAGATGTAGAGAAATTAGAAGTTTTGTGTGCTATTAGTGCAAATATTCAATGGTATGGCCACTATAGAAAATAGTAAAAAATTAAGAATGGAAATGCCCTATGATCCAGCAATTCCACTTTTGGGTATACATCCAATGGAATTGAAATCATCATCTTGAAGAAGTATCTTCACTCCTATGTTTATTGCAGGAGTATTCACAATAGCTAAGATGAAAACAACCCAAATGTTCATGAACAGATGAATGAAGAAAACAAATGTATATTTATTACTTTTGAAAAACATGGGGTCTCACTGTATAAGCTGGACTTGACATCCTGGGTTCAAGAGATCTTTCCATATCAGCATCCTGAGTAGCTGGGACTACAGATGTGTGAAAATTGCAATGAGATATTATCTTACACCAGTCAGATGGCTATTATTGAAAAGTAAAAAATAACAGATATTGGTGAGGATGTAGAGAAAAGGGAACTTTTATACACTGTTGGTGGGAATGTAAATTAGCACAGCCTCTATGGCAAACAGTATGGAGAGTTTTCAAATAACTAAAAATGGAACTACCATTTAATGCAACAATCTCACTACTGGATATCTACCCAAAGGAAAATAAATCATTATATCAAAATGATAGCCACACTTGTATGTATGTATATTGTAGCACTATTCACAATAGCAGAGATATGAAATCAACCTAAGTGTCTATAAACAGATGACTGGAAAAAGAAAATGTGATACATAGACATGTAGAATACTATTCAGCCATGAAAAGGGTGAAATCACATCTTTTGCAACAACGTGGATGGAACTGGAGACCATTATTTTAAGTGAAACAAGTCAGACATGGAAAAACAAATACTACACTTTCCCACTTATAAGTGGGAACTAAATAATGTGTATACATGGTTGTAGAATATGGAATTATAGACAATGGAGACTTAGAATGATAAGGGGATAGGAGGAGAGTGGATGATGAGAAGTTACTTAATTGGCATAATGTATGTTATTTGGGTGATGCGTACCCTAAAAGCTCTGACTTCAACACTGCAATCTGTGCATATAACAAAATAACACTTGAACCCCATAAATTTATACATATAACAAAGAGAAAAATGTATATATGTAGGAATATTATTCAGTCTTAAAAATACAGAAACCCTATCATTTGTGACAATATGGTTGTATCTGGAAGACATTATGCCAGTGAAACAGGGCAGCCACAGAAAGAGAACTACTACATAATTTCATTCACACGGATAGGATATCTACAACAGTTATACTCATAAAAGCAGCGAATAGAATGGTAATTGCCAGGGGCTAGAGTGAGGGGGGAAAAGGATAATTGTTGTTCAACAGGTATAAAATTTAAATTAAGCAAGATGAAAATGTTCTAGAAACGTGCTGTACAATATAGAGCCTATAGTTAACAATATGGTATTGTACATTTGAATGTTGGCTAAGAAGGTGGATTGCATATTAATGGTCTTCACACACATATTCACACACACACAAACATACACAAACCACAAAGGGACACAAGGAAACTTTTGGAGGTTATGGATATGTTTATTACTTGATTATGGTGACAGTATAATGGATATATGCATATGTCCAAACTCATCAAATTGTATACATTAAACACATACAGATGTTTTTGTATATCAATTAAAACTATATAGATATATAGACTTAAAAAAACAGGAGCCATTTCTGAATGCTGATCACATTTTATCATGCTAGGCACAGCGAAGCATTCAAATCTATATAATACAAAGAGCTTGATTTTGATGATTTCATATTTTGGGAGCATCTTTTTATCAGATAGTTTTTAAAATAAGTGTCTAATTTTTTAACCGAGAAGACTGTTTATCTGGCTCTGTACTAAGAATTCTTCAATTTACCCAACAAATATTTATAAAGCATTTTTTGGACCCTGGGAATCGTGCTAGGTGCTCAAAGAAATTAGTTAATGAGTACTGTCATATATACTTCCCTTAAAATTCTCAGTCAGAGATGGAGCCAGACATGAAAATCATAGGAAAATATGTTGCACACACAATAGATGCAAAAGAAGAGATACTGAGGGCAATGATGTTTGCAGAGAGGATGCAGGACTTTGTACAGTTCTTAGCATTGTATGCAGGCAGAAATATCAGGATAGGTAGAAAAGAGGATATTGTATAATTTTTTTCTTCTAACTATCACTTTAGGTTCAGGGGTTACATGTGCAGGTTTGTTACATGGGCAAATCATGTGTCTTGGAGGTTTTGTGTACAGATTATTTTGTTACCCAGGTAGTAAACATAGTACCAGGTAGGTAATTTTACAATTGTCACCCTAACCCCCCACCCCAAAGTAGCTCCTGGTGTCTATTATTTTCTTCTTTGTGTCCATGTGTACTCAGTATTAAACTCCCAATTATAAGTCAGAGCATGCGGTGTGTGATTTTCTGTTCCTGCGCTAACTTGCCTAGGATAATAGCCTCCAGGTTTATCCATGTTGCAGCAAATGATGTGATTTAATTTTTATGGCTCTGTAGTATTTCATGGTATATATATACTACATTTTTTAAATCCATTCTACTTTTCATGGACATCTAGGTTGATTCCATGTCTTTGCTATTGTAAAGAGTGCTGTAATGAACATATACATGCATGTGTCCTTGTGTTAGATCAATTTATATTCCTTAGCATATACCTAGTAATGGGATTGCTAGATCAAATGGTGGTTTTAAGTTCTTTGAAAAATCTCCAATTGCTTGCCACAGTGGCTGAATTAATTTGCAATCTCACCAGCAGTGTATAAGCATTCTTCCTTCTCCATCATGTTGCCAGCATCTGTTATTTTTTGAGTTTTTAATAATAGCCATTCTGACTTGTGTGAAATGATATTTTATTGTGGTTTTGATTTGGATTTCTTTAATGATTAGTGATGTTGAACACTTTTTCATATGCTTATTTTCCACATATAAGTCTTCTTTTGAGAACTATCTGTTTGTATACTTTGCCAACTTTTAATTGGGTTGTTTGTTTTTTGCTTGCTGATATGTTAAGTTCCTTAACGACTTTTGATATTAGACTATTGTCATATACATAGTTTGCAAATATCTTCTCCTATTGTGTGGGTTTTCTGTTTGCTTGTTTGATGGCTTATTTTGCTGTTCAGAAGCTCTTTAGATTAACTAGTTCCCATTTGCCAATGCTTGTTGTTGTTGCAATTGCTTTTGGAGTCTTCATCATGAAACATTTGTTAGGGACTTTCTCAAGAATGGTATTTCCTAGTTTTTCTTCTAGGATTTTTATAGTTTTAGCTTATACATTTAATTCATCTTGAGATGACTTTTGTATATGATAAAAGGAGGGGGTCCAGTTTAAATCTTCTGTGTATAAATAACCAGTTCTCTTAGCACCATTTATTGAATAGGCAGTCCTTTCCCCATTGCATGTTAATGTCAACTTTGTCAAAGATAAGATGGTTGTATGTGTGTGTGTGGCCTTATTTCTGGGTTCGCTAACTTGTTAAATTGGTATATGTGTCTGTTTTTATATCAGGACCATGCTGTTTTGGTAACTGTAGCCTTGTGGTGTAGTTTAAAGGCAGGTGGTGTGATGCCTTTAGTTTTGTTCCTTTTTATTGAGATTTGCTTTGGCTGTTCAGGCTCTTTTCTGCTCCATAAAAATTTTAGAATAGTTTTTTTCTAATTCTGTGAAAAAATGTCATATATAGTTTGGTGGGAAATCTGTAAATTGCTTTGGACGGTATGGCCATTTTAACAATATTGATTCTTCCTATCCAAGAGCATGAAATGTTCTTTCATTTGTTCATATCATCTCCAATTTATTTGAGTACTTTTTATAATGCTCATTGTAGATTTTTCACCTCCCTGCTTAGCTATATTCCTATGTATCTTATTCTTTTTACAGCTATTGTGAACGGGATTTTGACCTTGATGTTGCTCTCAGCATGGATGTTATTTGTGTATAGAAATGCTATTGATTTTTGTACGTTGATTTTGTATCCTAAAACTTTGCTAAAGTTGTTTATCCAATTTAGGAGCCATTGTGCAGAGACTATGGAGTTCTTTAGGTATAAAATAACATCATCAGTGGAGAGCAACGGTTTGACTTCCTCTTCTCATATTTTGATGTTCTTTTATTTCTTTCCCTTGTCTGAAGGTTCTGGCTAGCATTTCCAGTAGTATGTTGAATAGGAGTGGTGACATGGGAATCATTGTATTCTTCTGATTTTCAAGGGCAATGCTTCCAGCTTTTGCCCATTCAGTATAATGTTGGCTATGGGTTTTTCAAAGATGGGTCTTATTATTCTGAGGTATCTTCCTTCAATTCCTAGTGTGTTGAATGTTTTGAATATGAAAGGATTACAATTTCATTGAAAGCTTTTTTCTGTGTCTATTGAGATGGTCATTTAGTATTTGTTTTTAGTTCCAATTATGAGATGAATCACATTTATTCATTTGCATATTTTGAACCAACCTTGCAGCTCAGGGATAAAGACTATTTGATCATGGTGGCTTCACTATTTGATATCCTGCTAGATTCAGTTTGCAAGTGTTCTCTTGAGGATTTGTGTGTTTATATTCATCTGGGATATTGGCCTGAAGTTTTCTTTTTTCACGGTGTCTCTGCTAGGATTTGGTATCAGAATTATTCTGGCCCCATAGAATGAGGTAGGGAGAAGTCCCTTCTTCATTTTCTGGAATAATTCCAGTAAGATTGGTTCCAATTCTTCTGTATACATCTGATATAATTTGGTTGTGAATTCTTCTTGTCCAGGGCTCTTCTGGTTGGTAAGTTTTTATTACTGATTCAGTTTTTAAACTCATCATTGTTCTGTCCAGTTTTTCAGTTTCTCCCTGGTTCAATCTTGGGAAGTTTTATGTTTCCAGGAATTCATCAATTTAATTTAGGTTTCCTAGATTTGGGGCATAGAGGTGTAAGATCCTCAGAGGGTTTTTTGTATTTCTGTCGTGTTGGCAGCAATATTTCATTTTTCATTCCTAATTGTGTATATTTTTATGCTCTCTCTTGTTTCTTTATTAGTCTTGCTAGTGGACTATCAATCTTATTTATTCTTTCAAATAGCCAACTTTTTGTTTTCTTGATCTTTTTTTTGTGATTTTACACCTCCATTTTATTCAATTCAGCTATGATTTTGATTATTTCTTTTCTGCTAGCTTTGAGGTTAGTTTACTTTTGTTTCTCTAGTTCCTGTAGGTGTGGCTTTAGGTTGTTAATTTGAGAACTTTCTAACTTTTTAATGTGGGTGTTTAGTGCTATAAACTTTCCTCTTAACACTGCTTAGAGGAATGCTTAATTTCTAGCTGTGTCCAACAGATTATTGTATATTGGATATTTGTTTTTATTAGCTTCAAATAATTTCTCAGTTTCTGCTTTAATTTCATTGTTTACTGAAAAGTCATTCAAGAGCAGGTTGTTTAATTTCCACATAATTGTATAGTTTTGAGAGACCTTGGTATTGATTTCTATTTTTATTGCACTGTGGTCTGAAAGTGTTGTTTGTATGACTATGGTATTTTTAATTTGTTGAGAATGCTTTATGGATGAGCATGTGGTTGATTTTAAAGTATGCACCATGTGAAAATTAGACAAATGTATATTCTACAGTTGTTGGGTGGATTGTTATGTAGATAGATGTCTGTTAGGTTCATTTGGTCAAAGAACAAGTTTAGGCCCCAAACATCTTTGTTAGTTTTCTGCCTCAATGGTTTATCAAATACTGTCAATGGGGTTTTGAAGTCTCCCACTATTTTTGTGTAGTTATCTAAGTCTCTTTTTAAGTCTACAAGACTTACTTTCTGGATCTAGGTGCTCCAGTGTTGATTGCATACATACTTATGAGATTTGTCTTTTTGTTCAATTGAATTGAATCTTTTATTATTACATTATGCCCTTATTTGTATTTTTTAATTGTTATTGGATTAAAGTCTGTTTTGCCTGAAATAAGAATAGCAACTCCTGGTCTTTTGTTTTGTTTTGTTTTCCATTTGCTTGTGAGATCTTTGTCCATCTCTTTACTTTGAGCTTATGTTTGTCATTGCATGTAAGATTGGTCTCTTGAAGTCAGCATACAGTTGGGTCTTGCTTCTTTACCCAACCAACTTGTCACACTGTACCTTTTAATTGGTGTGTTTAGCCCATTTACATTCAAGGTTAACACAAATATGTGCAGATTTGATCCTGTTATTTTGTGGCTAGCTAGATGCTTGCTATTTAGACTTGAATGTGTAGTTGCTTTAGAGTGTCAATGTTCTATGTATTTAAGGGTATTTTTTTCATGGTCAGTAACAGTCTTTTTTTCATGTTTAGCACTCCATTCAGGACATCTTTTAAGGCAGTTTTGATGGAAATGAGTTCCCTTCGCATCTGCTTATCTGAGTAAGATTTTATTTCTCCTTCACTTATGAAGTTTAGTTTGTCTCGATATGTAATTATTGGTTGGAATTTCTTTTCTTGAAAGATGTTAAATGTAGGCCACCAATCTCTTCTGACTTGTAAATTTTCCTCTGAAAGTTCTGCTGTTAGCCTGATGGGGTTCCTCTTGTAGGTGACCTGCCCTTTCTCTCTGGCTGCCTTTAATATTTTTTTCTTTCATGTTAACCTCAGAGAATCTGAGGACTGTGTGCCTTGGAGAAGGCTGTCTTCTATAGTATCTCACAGGAGTTCTCTGAATTTTCTTAATATGAATGCTGACCTCTCTAGCAAGGTGAGGAAACTTTCATGGATAATATCTTCAATAATATTTTCCATGTTTCTTGCTCTCCCTCCCTTTCTTTCAGAGACCCCAATGTATCATGAATTTGCTTTATTTATATAATCCCATATTTCTCAGAGGTTTTATTGATTTTTAACATTATTCTTTATTTTTGTCTGACTGAGTTGATTCAAATAGCTTACCATTAAGCTCTGAAATTATTTCTTCATCTTGGTCTATTTTGTTTTTCCTACTTCCTATTATATTATCAAATTCTTGTAGTGACTTTTTTAGCTCTATCACATCAGTCGGTTCTTTCTTAAACTTTATTTTGTCCTTCATCTCTTGAATCATTTTATTTCATTCCTTAGATTCCTTGGATTGAATTTCAACTTTCTTCTGCATTACAATAATCTTCCTTGACATCCAGACTCTGAATTCTATGTCTGTCATTTCAGCCATGTAAATCTGAGCAAGAATCATTTCTGGGGATATAGTGCAGTCGTTTGGTGGTAAGAAGACACTCTTTTTAGAGTTGCCAGAGTTCCCATGCTGGCTGTTTCTCATCTGTGTGGGCCAATGTTCCTTTAATGTTTGAAATTTCTGTCCTTTTGATAGAACTTTTTGCTTCTATATTCTTTGGTGCCCTTGAGGGTTTGACTGTGGTAAAAGTTGGGTATAGTAAACTGGCTTCTTTTGTGGATTATTTTAGGGAACCAAGGCTCAGCTTAGCACTCCTGGGCTGTGTTCTCTTACCCTAGTAGGCAGGCTCATGGCTTTGTTTTCTGGCCCCTTGATATTAATCACCTGCTGTGCTGTAGAGACCAATGTGTTCCTGGCCCACTGTGGACCACTGTTGTCCACTCAACAACAATTTGATGGAAGTGTTCCAGCTAAAACACTTTATTGTAGTAGTGGCAGTGGGATTCATAATTATGTATCCATGCCAGTGGTAGCAGGGCTGGGGGGTCCATATGCATGCATGCACACCAGTGGTGGCAAGGTAGTGAAACAGTAGGGTCTGTGCATATGCACAAAGTGGTGGTGGTGGAGCAACAGTGCATCAGGGTCTGCATATGTGCATGTGTGTTGATGGTAGTGGGGCACTATGCACATGTTCCACTGCACATGCAAGTGCATGCATACACTGGTGGCAGTGGGATAGCAAGGTTCACATATGCATGTGCTCCAGCAAAGTGGTGGAGGGAGGCTGTAGACAAGTGCATACCAGCAAAGCAGTGGGGGCAGACTGTGAGCAATACATGCTTTCCAAGGCCCATCTGTGAAAGCTCTCTGATAGTCAGGCAGTATCTACCAGTGAAAGAGCTATGGCGTGGCTTCTGGGAAACACCCTTGTTGGGTTCTATAGCTGCACTTCAAGTTAGTTAAGCTGGGAAGGGACACTGGGAGAGGCTGGCAAATGTAGGGGGGGACAATCAGATCAAACAGAGCCCCACCCATGGATAAGATATCCCTGTACAGTCCAAGTCAAACAGTAAAAAATTGCCAAAGCCACCTAGAGGGGCATGGCAATTCTTAGGGGACAGATATTTCTGGCCCTGCTCCCCTGGAGCTGTTACTCCAACAAACCCAGTGGGCTTCACACGGTTGGAGTCCTGTTCCTGAAAACTGTCCAGCAGTGCTTCTTGCCAACTCATATTTCTATGGGGACTGTGGAGTGTTCTGCAGCTAGGATTCCAGAGGTCTGTGACAAGAGTGAAGCACTCCATGCCTATCTAACTCACCCCTTCCACAGGAGCCACTTGGGGCCAGGAATGAGTTCTGGTGCTTGACAATTTTGTACCGGGTTCCCAGCTTCCTCCCTCTTAGGCTCAGTATATTAGTCCGTTCTCATGCTACTGAGAAAAACATACCTGAGACAGGGCAACTTACAAAAGAATGAGATTTAATTGGACTCACAGTTCCATGTGGTTGGGAGGCCTCTCAATCATGGAGGAAGGCAAGGAGGAGCAAGTCACATATTATGTAGATGGTGACAGGCAAAGAGAGAGAGAGTTTGTGCAGAGAACCTCCTATTTTTTAAAATCATCAGAACACTTGAGACTAATTCACTATCATGAAAACAGCACAGGAAAGATCTGCAACCATAATTCAATCACCCCCCACTGGGTTCCTGCCGTGACATGTGAGAATTGTGGGAGTTACAATTCAAGATGAGATTTGGGTGGGGACACATCCAAAGACTAATCATTCTGCCCCTGGCCCTTCCCATATTTCATGTACTTACATTTCAAAATTAATCATGCCTTTCCAACAGTCCCCCAAACTTTTAACTCATTTCAGCATTAACTTAAAAGTTCACAGTCCAAATTGTCATCCCAGACAAGGCAAGTCCCTTGACAAATGAAGTGAAAAAAATAAAATAAATGACAGAAGAAGGAGAAGGAGAAGGAAAAGAAAGAAGTGTTAGGAGGAGAAAGAAAGGGAAAAAAGACAAAAAAAGAAAGAAAGAAAAAAAAGAAAGAAAGAAAAGAAAAGAAAGAAAGAAAAGAAAAGAAAAAAGAAAAGAAAAGAAAAGAGGTAGAAAGTTAAAAGGATGGGAGGGAGAGAATGAGGGAGGGAAAAAGGGAGGGAGTGTGGAAGGAAGGAAAAAAAAGACAATGAACAAAATATATTTTAGAAAGGAGGAGAATGTGTGGCACATAGTGGGCATTGAATATATACATTTTTTATTATTATTATACTTTAAGTTTTAGGGTACATGTGCACAATGTGCAGGTTAGTTACATATGTATACATGTGCCATGCTGGTGCGCTGCACCCATTAACTCGTCATTTAGCATTAGGTATATCGCCTAATGCTATCCCTCCCCCCTCCCCCCACCCCACAACAGTCCCCAGAGTGTGATGTTCCCCTTTCTGTGTCCATGTGTTCTCATTGTTCAATTCCCACCTATGAGTGAGAATATGCGGTGTTTGGTTTTTTGTTCTTGTGATAGTTTACTGAGAATGATGATTTCCAATTTCATCCATGTCCCTACAAAGGACATGAACTCATCATGTTTTATGGCTGCACAGTATTCCATGGTGTATATGTGCCACATTTTCTTAATCCAGTCTATCATTGTTGGACGTTTGGGTTGAATCAATAGACAGTGTCAAAAGTGTTCAAAATTCAAAAACAAACAAATGAAAAAAACTGGGAGAGTGAGAGTAGATAAAATTTATTAGAGCCTTTGGAAAGATAAGTTGGAAAGAAGGCTGGAATGGTGTGGTAAGGGTAGAGTAGGGAAGATGGAAAAAGAAGCAGTTTGGAGGAAGTTAGGAAGGAAAGGAATGATGAGAGAGTAAAAATGATGCAAATTATGTGTTTTATATATTTGACTGGGAATAAAAGGTGATAAACTGATCAAGAATTTAGAATGTCAGGCAGAGATTTTTGTTACCCATTTGTTTGTTATAGACAAAGGGGTCCTGAGACTGAGGACATAAACCAAAAAAAAGGCCATGGAACAAAAGATGAAAGATACGAGAAAAGAAGGGGCAATGGCTTATAAGAATTTGTTACCTAAACAATTTATAGACATAGCAGTGCCTTAATCTAAAGCAATAAAACCCAATGGTGGAATTTCAGAAAGTATGATAACCAGTTTGAAAAAGTGGGATACATTTATACAGCCTCAGATTAGAAATCTACTTCTCCTCCTTAAACCAATTATATCAGAGGCAATTGTCCTGGTTTGATTTTCTTTTGAAAAGACTGCATTGACTTGAAATGTGTATGTGAGGGATGAACAGGGAGCAGGGAAATTTGCCTTTGGAAATTAAGTTCTTACTAAAATAGTTTTTATCTCTCGGAACAGTTAATCCTGGGAAAACTGGTTCTCAATGGTTCTCAGGACTCAACTGTTTTGGGGTTAATTCAGGAAATTCTAAATACCAGAGAGGCCAAATTATTGCTTCAACTTTTGGGAAGAGGTGCCATTCTTGAACTTGCTAGATGGTGAGCTAAAATGAGGAGGATGATCTGAAGTCTTTTTACATAGACTTCCAATGTCATGCTCTTATGGGCTTGCTCTGTCCAGTAAATGGCACAGATCTCCATCCTCAGCGACCTCAGAAGTGCCAATGAAGACTTATCAAAAGTATCACTTCCTGGGCCTGTGCATGTCTCAGATGCAGGTTCACTGTTGATCTTACCCATAGATATTAGTCAATGTCTGCATTAATGACCCTTCTGGGTCAACCTCAAGAGAGCCACAGAACTTGTTTTTCTTCTCTTCAATCCTGACCTGACCCCTCTATTAGCCTTACTTTAAGCCAGGAGAGCTCCTACTACAGAAAAAGGGGATGAGTCACTGAGGGCCAGGAACAAGACTAGATCTCTTTAGTGTCAAAGGAAGACATAACATGCCCTGTGAAGTCTATTGTTTTCTAAAAATCTTGTATCATCAGATAATATCTTGAAAGCTAACTTTCCTTTCATAGCAGAGAGAAACATTGAGAGTACCCAGGTATAAAATGCTTGAGGGGATGGAGACTCAATTTTTCATGACTTGAGTATTATGCATTACATGCCTGTATCAAAATATGTCTTGTATACCATAACTATATACAACTACTAAGTACCCACAAAAAATAAAAATAAAAATAAAATTGTAGCATGAATTGCTAAAAAAAAGAGGTTCTATAAGATCCTATACCAATTATATGCCGAAACTAACAGGGATATTGGGGTCCTCCATTTTATGTGGAGGTAAACTGATAGTAGATGGCTACTGTGATTTGCTTAAGGTCACAAAAGATCATAATCAGTGCAAATCATTTGACTAATACACTATCCAAGTAATACATTTCATTTTGCCTCTGGGGTTGCAGACAAGTTCCCTGCTGCAATGAAATCTGTGTGGGTATACATAAACTAATAAATACATTAATATATGATGTAATATAAAGTCACATAATAGTAAGTTTCATGAAGAAAGTAAAACAGGATAAGGAGATAGTTTGTGCAGAGTATGTATTTGCTTTCATTTTGGTTGTTCAGAAAAGTACTCTGAAGAGGTGACATTTTGAGTAGTGGACTGGATAATTTATCAGAGCCGTAGTCTTAAGGGAAAATGTTGCAGTCATAGACAAAGCAAGGGTAAAGGCCCCGGGATGGAAAGAGGATTAGTATTTGGTTTTTATTAACAATACTTAGTGACTTCTATAGGGTAGAGCACTCCAAATGTTTCAATTTAACTCAATGAAATTCAATTAACCAGTTAAGTAGAATTTAGTGCCGAATAAGTATTAAGAAATTATTTATTATTCAAAGGCCTAAAAACAGAACTACCATTCAACCCAACAATCCCATTACAGGGTATTTACCCAAAGGAATATAAATCATTCTATTATAAAGACATATACATGCATATGTTCATTATAGCACTATTCACAATAGCAAAGACATGGAATCAAGTAAATGCTCACCAATGATAGACTTGATAAAGAAAATATGGTACATATGCACCATGGAATACTATGCAGCCATAAAAAAGAATGAGATCATGTCTTTTGGAGGAACATGGATAGAGCTGCAGGCTGTTATCCTTAGCAAACTAATACAGGAACAGAAAGCCAAATACTACGTTCTCACTTATAAGTGGCAGCTAAAAGATGAGAACACATGGACACATAGAGGGAAACAACACACTCTGGGGCCTATCAGAGGGTGGAGGATGGGAGGAGGGAGAGGATCAGAAAAATTAGCTAATGGGTACTAGGCTTAATACCTGGGTGATGAAATAATCTGTACAACAAACCCCATAACACAAGTTTACATATATAACAAACCTGCAAACATACCCTTGAAATTAAAATAAAAGTTAAATTTTTAAGAAAGTAATTACTTGTATAAAACACTTGTGCTATGAATGTTTGACATAATCCTTGCATTTGAGTAATTCCCAATTTGGTGGAGATTTATACACAAATGACTATGATAGAAGGCAGAAAAGTAATTTTGCCATAAAACAAGTCCAGATAAAAGATTCTTAGAATTTTAAGACAGAAGATATTATTTTCTGTTGGGGAATCTGTCTAACCTTCATAAATAAAAAGGAACCCAAAGAAAGCATATGAAAATGTGAAGGATTTAGACTAGCAAAGACAGGGAGGGAAGGTAGAACAGGGCATTCTAGGTGGAAAGAATGGCCAAAGAAAGGCCTAAAATTTGAGATTCTGAACGCAGTGAGAGCTCAGTATTTTGAGTAGGTTTAAGAGCTCAGACCTTTGCTTTAAAGACAACAGTAAATTATGACAGAAAATGGTACTAAACTTGACCACTTCAGCTACAGCTATCTATTGACGTGGGTTTGAAGCCTTCTCTAGAAAAAAAGAGCTGAAAATTCTCACAATTCACCTTGACCTTGGTAGAATTTCTCCCATTAACAGTCTTGTCTCACCTCAGGAAAATAGTGACAGTTCAAAATGTCCCAATGGATACTTGAATTACATAGAATTAAAGAAGGTGGAATGAAATAAATAATGAGTAATAGAATTTGTTATAGTTGATAAAGTAGAACAATCATTAAAAATGCTATATTATGAATATTTAGTTAGGATGTTTTTTAGTTAGGAGTTTTAAAAAGTACAAGTCCAATCACAGTAGCATAGTAATCTGATGGGCATAATTATTCAAACAAAAGATAAATAAAGATGCATTCTATACAATTTTTAAAATTTTTTATAATTTATAATTTTTATTGTTTTAGAGCATACATAAAATATATCATCTTAACCATGTAATACGTACAGTTAAGTGTCATTAAGTAGACTCGTGTTGTTGTGTAACCATCATCAATCTCCATCTCAAGAAATTTTTCATTATCCTGAACTGAAACTCTGAACTTAATAAACACTAAATCCCCAATTCCCTCTCCCCCAGGCCCTGTAACCTTCATTCTATTTTCTGTTTTCATGAATTTGACTATCATAGGTACCTCATATAAGTGGAATCATAAAATACTCTTTGTTTCCTTCTGCCTCTGGCTTGTTTCACTTATAATGTATTTAAGATTTATCCATTTGTACCATGTATCATATTTTCCTTCCTTTTGAAGGCTGCATAATATTCCTTTGCATGTATATTCCACATTTTGTTCATTTATCTGTCAGTGTACATGGGTTTCTTCCACCTTTTAGCTTTTCTGAATACTGCTGCTAGGAACATTAGTGTAGCAATATCTATTTGTGCCTCTGCTTTCAATTTTTTGCTTATATACACCAAAGTAGAATTGCTGAATCATATGGTAATTTAATGTTTAGTTTTTTGGAGAACGTCCATATTATTTTCCACAGTGATTGCACCATTTCATTTTCCCACCAGCAATGTACAAAGTTTCCAATTTCCTGACTTGCCAACACTTGTATTTTTCTGGCTTATTATTGTTTTTTAAATAATAGCCATCCTTCTGAGTGTGAAGTGGTTTCTCATTGGTGTTTTGATATGCATTTCTGATCAAATGTGATTAGTGATTGCAAACGTCTTTTTATGTGCTTATTGCCTATTTGTATGTCTTCTTTGGATAAAAGCTTATTGAAGTCTTTTTCCCACTCTTAAATCAAATTTTATTGTTTTGTGTTATAGTAGTTCTTTATATATTGTGATTATTAATCCTTTATCATATATATAATTGAAAAATATCATCTCCCATTCTGTGTTTCATTTTTACTCCCCTGATTATGTCGTTTCATGCATAAACATTATTAATTTTGATGAAGTCCAATCTATCCATTTTTCCTATTTTGATATGTAATTTGGTGTCATATCCAAGAACTGACTACATATTCCTATGCTTTCTCTAAGAGTTTTATGCTTTTAGCTCTGACACTTAGGTGTCTTACTTATTCTGAGGTAATCTTTCTGTAAGGTAAGGGTCCTACTTCATTATTTTGTAGTGCATATACAGTTTTGCCAAAACCATTTATCGAAAAGACTGTTCTTTCCTTATTGTGTGATCTTGGCACCCTCATCAAAAATCATTTGACTATATATGTGAGAGTTTGTTTCTGTTCTCTTCATTCTATTTCACTAGTCTGAATGTATGTATTTTGGTCAACACTACACTGTTTTAGTTACTGTAGCTATGTAGTAAGTTTTAAAATCAGGAAGACTGAGTCCTCAAACTTTGTACTTCTCTTTCATTATACGTTTTTTTCTTATTTGCGGTCTCTTAGAATCCCATATGAATTTTCAGATAGATTTTTCTGTTTCTTCAAAATACATTATTGAAATTCTGATACAGCTTGCACTGAATATGTAGATTAGTTTTTCTAGCATTGATATCTTAACAATATTAGTTTTCTAGTGGATTGTTATGGGATGCATTTCCATTTACTTATGTCTTTTAAAATTTCTTTTAGCAATGTTTTGCAGTTCTGTACAAGACTTTTTAATTTTTGGGGGGCATATAGTAAGTGTATCTGTTTATGCATTACATGAGATATTTTGATACAGGCATGCAATGTGTAATAATCACATCAGGATAAATGGGGTATCCATCACCTCAAGCATTTATTATTTGTGTTTCAAATGATCCAATTATTCTCTTTTAGTTGTTTTTAAATGAAGAAGGTGCCACTGCACACCAGCCTGGGTGACAGAGTCAGACCCTGTCTTAAAAAAAAGAACAATTAAATTAGTTTTCACTAGAGTCACCTTATTGTTCTAGCCTATACTAGGTTTCATTCATTCTTTTAAACTATTTTTTGTGCCCATTAATTATCCCCAATTCCTACACCTCCCCCCATCCCCACTACTCTTTCCAGCTTCTGGTATCCATCATTCTACTCTCTATCTCATTGACTTCAATTATTTTTATTTTTAGCTACCATAGTTAAGTGAGACCATGCGATGTTTGCCTTTCCATGTCTAATTTCACTTAACATAATGACTTACAGTTCCATCCATATTACTGCAAATGACACCATCTCATTCTTTTTTACAGATGAATAGTACTCCATCGTGTATAAATACAACATTTTCTTTATCCATTTATCTATTGAGGAACACTTGAGTTGCCTCCAAATCTTGGTTATTGTGAACTATGCTGCTACAAATGTGGCAGTGCAAAACTCTTCTTGATATACTAATTTCCTTTCTTTTGGGTATATGCCTACCAGTGGAATTTCTGGCTCATATGATAGTTCTGTTTTAAGTTTTGAGAAACCTTCAATCTGTTTTCCATAATGGTTGCATTAATTTACATTCCTAATAACCGTGTACAGGGTTCCTATTTCTCCACATGTTTTGCCAGCGTTTGTTATTGCCTGTCTTTTGGATAGAAGCCATTTTAACTGAGGTGAGATGATATTTCATTTTAGTTTTGATTTGCATTTCTCCCATGATTAATAATGTTGAGTACCTATTCATATACCTGTTTCCCATTTTTATGTCCTCTTTTGAGAAGTGCCTATTCAGATATTTTGTTCATTTCTTAATTAGATTATTAGATTTTTTCCTATAAAGTTGTTTGAGCTTCTTATATATTCTGGTTATCAATCCCTTGTCAGATTAGTAGTTTGCAAATATCTTCTCCCATTCTCTGTGTTGTATCTTCACTTTGTTGATTGTTTTCTTTGCTGTGCAGAAGGTTTTAAACTTAATGTGACCCCATTTCTTCATTTTTTTTTCCTTTGGTTGCTTGTGCTTGTGGAGTATTACTCAAGAAATCTCAGCCTACTCCAATTTCCTGTACAGTTACCTCAATGTTTTCTATGGGAATTTTAGAGCTTGAGGTGTTAGATTTAAGTCTTTAATCCATTTTGATTGGATTTTTGTATATGGTGAGAGATAAGAATCTCGTGTCATTCTTCTGCATATTGATATCTAGTTTGCCCAGCACCACTTACTGAAGAGACTCTTTTCCCAGCATAGGTTCTTGGCACCTTTGTAAAAAATGAGTTCACTGTAGACGTGGTTTCATATAAATTTTAGGATTTTTTTTCTGTGAAGAATGTCATTGTCAATTTGACAGAGATTGCGTTGAATCTGTACATTGCTTTGGGCAGTATGGACATTTTAACAGTATTGATTCATCCAATCCATAAACATAGAATATCATTCATTTTTTTGTGTTCTCTTCAATTTCTTGCATCAGTGTTTTATAGTTTACGTTGTAGTTTTCTTTCACTTATTTGGTTAAGTTAATTCCTAGGTTTTATTTTATTTGGGGCTATTACAAATGGGATTAATTTTTGGTTGCTTTTTCAGATTGTTCACTGTTAACATATAGAAATGCTACTGATTTGTGTATGCTGATTTGTATTCTGTGATTTCACTGAATTTGTTTATCAGTTCTAATAGTGTTTTGGAGAAGTCGTCAGGTTTTTTCCAAATATAAGATCATATCCTTTTCAAAGAAGTATGATTTGACTTCTTCCTTTCCAATTTTAATGCCCTTTTTATGTTTCTCTTGTCTCATTGCTCTATCTAAGACTTCCAGTACTATGTTGAATAATAGTGGTGTAATTGGGCATTCTTGTCATGTTGCAGATCTTAAAGTAAAGGATTTCCATTTTTCCCCATTCAGTATGTTACTAGCTGTGGGTCTGTTATGATTTATGTTATGTTGACGAATGTTCCTTCAATACCTAGTCTTTTGAGGGTATTTATCACGAAAGTATGTTGAATTTTATCAAATACTTTTTCAGCATCAATTAAAATGATCATATGTTTTTTATCCTTCATTCTGTTTATATGATATATCCCACTGATTGATTTGTGTATGTTGAACCATTCTTGCAACCCAGTGACAAATCCCACTTGGGTATGATGAAAGATCTTTCTAATGTAGCATTGAATTGTTTGCTAATACGTTGTTGAGGATTTTTTTTGCATCATTATTTTTCTGAGATACAGGCCTATAGTTTTCTTTTTTGATGTGCCTTTGTCTGGTTTTGTTATCAGGGTAACACTAGCCTCATAGTATGAGTTTGGAAGTATTCCCTCCTTTTGTGCTTTTCAGAATATTTTGAGTTGGGTTGGTATTAGTTCTCCTTTAAACGTTTGGTATAATTTAGCAGGGAAGCCATTGGATCTTTGGCTTTTCTAAAAAAACTGGGAAATTCTATTATGGCTTCAATCTCATTACTTGTTATTGGTCTATTCAGGTTTTAAATTTATTCCTGGTTCAGTCTTGGTAGGTTGCACATTTCTAGAAATTTATCCATTTCCTCTGGATTTTTTGATTTTTTGACGATCATATTCTCATAACTGCTAATGATCCCTTGAATTATAGCGGTATCAGTTGTAATGTCTCCCTTTTTATTTATCATTTTATTTATTTGGGTCTTCTCTTTTTTCTTATTTAATGTAGCTAAATGTTTGTCAATTTTATTTATCTTTAATAAAACAACTTATTGTTTTGTGAATCTTTCATATTGTTTTCTTAAGTTCAAATTAATTTACTTCTGCTGTGATAGTATTTCTTTTGTTCCACTATGTTTGGGTTTAGTTTGCTCTTGCTTTTTAATTCTTGAGATACATCATTATGTTATTTACTTGAATGTTTTCTTTTTTTTTTTTTTGATGTAGGCACTTATAGTTATCTATCTCTCTATTTGTATAGTTTTGCTGTATCCCATAGGTTTTTATATATTGTGTTTCCATTATCATTTGTTTCAAGAAAATATTCAATTTTCTTAATTTCTTTATCTGCCCCCTGGTCATTCAGGAGCATATTCTTCAATTTTAATGTGTTTGTATATTTTCCAAAATTCATCTTCTGATTGATATCTAGTTTTATTCCATGTAGTCAGAGAAGATGCTTGACATTAGTTCAATTTTTTTAAATGTTTTAAGACTTGTTTTGACCGAATATGTGCTTTATTCTTGAGAATGATCTATGTGCTGAGGAGAATAATGTGTATTTCAGCCATTGGATGAAATGTTCTGTAAATATCTATCAGGCCCATTTATTCTATAGTGTAGACTAAGTCTGATGTTTGTTTATTTTTTGCCTGTATGATCTGTCCAATGCTGAAAGTGGGGTATTGAAGTCTCCAGCTATAATTGTATTGAGGTCTGTTTCTCTCTTTTGCTCTAATAGTATTTGCTTTATGTATCTGGGTGCTCTTGTGTTGGGTGCACATATAAGTAAAATTGTTATAACCTCTTAATGAACTGACCTTTTATCAATATATAGTGACCTTCTTTGTCTCTTCTTACAGTTTTCGTCTTGAAATCTATTTTGTCTGGTATAAGTAGAGCTATTTCTGCTCTTTTTTGGTTTCCATTGCCATGAAGTATCTTTTTCCATCCCTTTATTTTCAGTCTATGTTTAGGTTTATAGGTAAAATGCATTTCTTGAAGGCAGCAGATCACTGAGTCTCTTAAAACAAATCTGTTCAACCACTTTATATATTTTGTTTGGCGAGTTTAATCTATCTACCTTCAATGTTATCATTGATATGTAAGAACTTACTTTTGTCATTTTGTTATTTGTTTTCAGGTTGTTTTGAAGTCTCCTCTTCCTTCTTTCCTTTTTTTCTGTCTTCCTTTTAGTGAAGGTAATTTTCTTTGTTAGTATGATTTAGTTTCTTGCTTTTCATTTTTTGAGTATTTGTTGCATGTTTTCCAATTTGAAGTTACCATGACTCTTGCAAGTAATATCTTATAACCCATTATTTTAAGCTCATAACAACTTAACAATATTTGCAAGGCAGCATTGAATTCAATGTGAAACCTCCCAGTTCCTTTGCTATCTTTTCCCAGGTGCACAGTTTTCTCCAAGCTATGTGGCTGCTTCAGGGGGGATGGGAGGGGGATGGTACAAGCATGCTCTTTAGCTACTCCTCCTGGTGTCTCATTAGGTCACCTGCCTGCCCAGTCCACTGGCTCTGAGCCAAGTTCAGCAGTAGGACTTGCCTAGTATTTGCAGTCCTTGTGGCCCAGACTGCTACTCAAGTTCACTTGGGGTCCCAGAGCACTGCAGTCTACAATGGTGAGGCTTCCCAGAACTCACACTCTGACTACTGGAATGGGTGATTACCCTCCGGCTAGGGCCAGTCCAAGTGCTTCCTTCATGGAAAAATGTCAGGTGAGTGAAGGCCAATTCTACTTTCCATTGTGACAGGGCAGCACTGACTTTAATTCAAAGCCTCACAATGACTGTGCTCTGCACCGCACAACCACTGCCAGGGGATGGGGGAGGGGTTGAATTGGCTCTTCAAGACTGTTTTTCCTGCCATCTTCAATGTCTTTTTCAGTAAAACCAGGTACTGTGGTTGCTCACTTATTTATGGTTTTTGTAATAGTGCTTTCTGTGTGAAGTTAGTTGTTAAAATTTGGTGTTCTTGCAGGGAGAACAAATGGTGTAGGCTTCTATTTGGCTATCTTGCTACACATTTCATTTATTTATCTTCAGTCTTTGTGTACCTTTATAGGTAAAGTATGCATCATGCAGGCAACAGATTATAGTGTCTTGTTGTCTTACCCATTTGGCCATTCTGTGTCATTTTGTTAGAGAGTTTAGTCCCTTTATATTCAATGTTATTGATAAGTAAGGACACACTATTGCCATGTTGTTGCTTGTTTTCCTAACTCCCTTCTTTTCCTCCTTCCTGGCTTCCTTTTAGTGAAGGTGGTTTTCTCTAGTGATATGATTTAATTTCTTTTTTATCTTTATTTTTTTTATATCTCTTGTATGTTTTTTGATTTGAAGTTATGATGAGAAATATAAATATTTCCTTACAACCCATTATTCTAAGCTGATAACAACGTAGAAGCATTTGCAAAACAAAAAGAAAGCTAATAAAAACCCTAAATCAAAAATTTGTCCCCCACTTTTTAACTTTTTGTTGGTTCTGTTTATATCTTATTGTACTATGTCTTAAAATTTATTGTAGTTATTATTTTTTATTAGTTCATCTATTAGTCTTCCTTTTTAAGTTAAGAATAGTTTGCATACCAGAGATTCAGTGTTATAATATTCTGTGGGGTTTTTTGTTTACTTACTGTTGCCAGTGAATTTTATACCTTCAGATGATTTCTTATTGTTCATTAATGTTCTTTTTTATGATTGAAGTATTCCTTCCTTTAGCATTTCTTGTAGGAGAGGTCTGATGTTGAGTAAGTCCTCCAGGTTTTGTTTGTCTGGAAAAATATTTCTTCTTCATGTTTAAAGAATATTTTCAATGGTTATACTGTTCTAGGGTAAAAATTTTTGTTTTTTTCTTTGGCAATTTTAATATGTCACGCCACTCTCATATATTGGAGCTCCATTGTATGTTATTTCTTTCTTTTCTTTTGCTGTTTTTATGATCCTTTTGTTATCTTTGACCTTTGACAATTTGATTATTAAATGCCTTGAGGTAGATGTCTTTGGATTATATCTGCTTGGTGTTCTATCACCTTTTTATACTTGGATATTGATATATTTCTCTATGTTTGGGAAGTTCTCTGTTATTATCTCTTTGAATAAATTTTCTACACTTATCTCTTTTTCCACCACCTCTTTAAGACTCTTGGATTTGCCCTTCAGAGGCTATTTTCCAGATTTTGTTTATGTGCTTCTTTTTTATTACTATTATTTTTGTCTCCTCTGTGTATTTTCAAATAGCCTATCTTCAAGTTCACCAATTCTTCCTTCCACTTGATCAATTATGCCCATTAAATGTCTCTGATGCATTCCTCAGTATGTCAATTGTATTTTCAACTCCAGAATTTCTGCTTGGTTCTTTTTAATTATTTCAATCTCTTTGCTAAATTCATCTGATAAAAGTCTGAATTTCTTCACTGTGTTATATTGAATTCTTTTTGAATTTCCTCAAAACAGTTATTTCAAATTCTCTATCTGAAAGGTCACATACCTCTGTTTCTCCAGGATTGGTCCCTGGTGCATTATTTAGTTTGTTTTATGAGGTCATGTTTTCTTGGATGGTGTTTATGCTTGTAGAATTTCTTCCGTGTCTGAACATTGAAGAGTTACATATTTACTGCAATCTTCACACTCTAGATTCATATTTGCATGTTCTTGGGATGCCTTTCCAAGTATTTGAAACGACTTGGGTACTGTGATCTAAGCTGTACCTTCCATAGAAGGCATCCTGATATAATTTGGCTGTGTCCCCACCCAAATCTCACCTTGAATTATAATAATCCCCACATGACAAGGGTGAGGCCAGGTGGAGATAACTGAATCATTGGGGCATTTTCCTCCAAACTGTTCTCATGGTAGTGAATAAGTTTCACAAGATCTGATGGTTTTATAAATGGAAGTTTCTCCTGCACACGCTCTTTTGCTTGCCACCATGTAAGACATGACTTTGCTTCTCCTTTGCCTTCTGCCATGATTGTGAGGCCTCCTCAGCCACGTGGAACTATGAGTCCTTTAAACCTCTTTCCTTTATTAATTAGCCAGTTTTGGGTATGTCTTTATTAGCAGTGTGAGAACAGACTAATACACACCCCAAGCCCAGTAATGCTGTGGTTGCTTCAGACTCATAGAGATATCACCTTGGTGGTCTTGGATAAATCAAGAAAAATATTCTGGATTGATGGGCAGAGACTCTTGTTCTCTTCCCTTATTTTCTTCCAGGTAAACAGAGTATCTCTTTCTGTGCTGAGCCACTTGTATCTAGGGGTGAAGTGACACAAGCACCCCATGGCCACTACCACTGGGAGTGCACTGGGTCAGACCTAAAGTCAGCACAGCACCGGGTCTCAGGCCCACTGTAACCACTCCCTGGCTACTGCCTATGTTTGTTCAAGGTCCTAAGGGTGTACAATCATCAGGTAAAGCTGTTAAGGCTGTCTTTTCCTTTAGGATAGCAAGTTTCCCCAGGCCTGAGGTGGGTCCAGACATGCTCTCTAGGCACCAGGGACTACAGTAAAAAACCTTAGAAATATACCTGATGTTTTGTTGTACTGCTGCTGAGATGGCACTCAAACCACAAGAGCAGTTGTTCCCACTCTTCGTTCCCCTTTCAACAGACAAAGGAGCTTCACCACGTGGCCACTGCCAACACAGGCCCACAGGGAATATGGCCAGGATATCATGAATGTTCACTTAAGGTCCAAGGGCTCTTTAGTCAGCTTCTGGTGGATGTTGTCAGGCCTGAGACTCACCCTTCAGGACAATGGGCTACCTTCTCACCCAGGGCAGATCCAGAAATGCTATCCCAGAGCCTTGGCCTGGAATTGCGGACCCCGAGACATTCTTGGTGCTCTATGCCCTGTTCTCTAGCTGTACCTAAGGTGCAAGACACAGTACTTCATCTAACTGTAGCCACCATACCTGGGAATGTGCTGTGTCTCACCTGAAGTCAGAATGTCTTAGAGTCTCACCCAAGGCCCATGGCATACTACTTGGGTATTGCTGCTGGTTATTCAGTGCCTAAGGGTTCCTTAGTCAGCAAGTGATTGGTATCATAATTACTAGGTTCTTCCAGTCAATGCAGTGGGCTCTCTTCCAGCCCAGGGTGTGTCTAGAAATGTTGTTCAAGTGTTAGAGCCAAGAATGGGGGCTTCACATCTAGATCCAGTGCCCTGTCCTACTATGGCTGAGTTGGTATCAAAGATTCAATACAAAGTCCTCTTTTGAACAAGTTTTTATTCTTCTTGTTTTATATTATCTAAATATTTTAGACATTTTATGTTCTCGTTGATGTTATTTTAAGTAGGATTGTTTTCTCTTTTTCTTTTAATTACATTTATTATATTGTGGTAAAATATACATAACACAAAACTCACCATTTTAAACCACTTTTATGTGTATGGTTCAATGGTATTAAGTACATTCACATTGCTATGCAACCATCAACTTCATCCAAATCCAGAATATTATCTTCCCAAACTGAAATTCTGTATCCATTAAACAATAACTCCTCATATCACCCTCTCTCCAGTCCTATACAACAACTAATATTTTTGTCTTTTTAAATTTACCTATACTAATATCATTTTAGGTTTGTTCTTTGTTATTATGTAGAAATGTAAGTGATTTTGCATATTAATATTGGATCTGACAACATTCTCTAATTGATTTATTATTTTCAAATGTGTTTTCTAAATGTGTAGTATCATTCGTGTTTTCCACATATAAGATCATGTCATTTGCAGATGAGCTAATTTTACTTCTTCCTTTTTAATTTGATATCCTTTATTTCTTTATCTTGCATAAGTACTCTGGGAACTTCCAATATTATGTTGAATTGAAGTGATGAATTCTGGATCTTTGTCTTGTTCATATTAGAGAAAAAGCTTTTAGTCTTGCATCACTGAGTATGATGTCAGTTGTGATTTTTTTCACACATAACATTTAGTATGTTGACATAATTTGCTTCTATTTCTAGTTTGTTTAATATTTTTATAAAGACAATGTATTGTATTCTGTCAAATGCTTTTTCCATTTCAATTGAAATGATCATGTGTTATTCCTTTTTATTCTGATAATGTGATGTATTATATTGATTTTCATATCTTCAACAATCGTTGCATTCCAGGATTAAATCCTAATTGTCATGTTGTATAATATTTTAACAGTCTGCTGAATTTGGTTTGGTAGTGTTTAATTGAGAGATTTTTCCATCAATATTTAAATGATATATTTGGTATGTAATTTTCTTGCAGTGTCTTTCTCTGGCTTTGATATCAAGGTGAATTAGCCCATTTTCACATTGCTATAAAGAAGTACCTAGGACTGGGTAATTTATAAAGAAAAGAGTTTTAATTGGCTCACAGTTTCACAGGGTGTACAGCAAGCATGGCTGATGGAGGCTTCAGGAAACTTACAATCATGGCAGAAAGCGAAGGAGGAGCTGGCACGTCCTACATGACTGGAGCAGAAGACAGTGAAGCAGAAAGTGCTACACACTTTCAAACAATTAGATCTCATGAGAACTCACTCACTATCATGAGAAAAGCAATGGGAAATCTGCCCCCGTGATCCAATCACCTCCCATCGTGTCCCTCCCTCAACATCGAGGATTACAATTCAACATGAGATTTGGATGGGGACACAGAGCTAAACCATATCATGAGGTAATGCTGGCCTCATAATGACTTCAAAAATGTTTGTCCTTCTTCAATTTTTTGGGAGTTTTTTAAAAATTGAGACATTCCTTTTCAAATGTTCAGTAGAATTCACCAGTGAAATTATCTGTTCCAGGGCTTTTCTTTGTTAGGAGATATTAATTACTGTTTCAATCTCCTTATTAGTTATGTGTATTTAGATTTTCTATTTCTTTATGTTTCACTCTTGGTAGGTCATATGTTTCCAGGGATTTGACCATTTTATTTAGATTATCTTATTTATTGTAAATGTTTTCATAGTGCACTTTTGTAATCTTTTTTATTTGTCTAAACTTAGAACTGATATCCTAACTTTTATTTCTGATTTTAGTAACTTGAGTCTTCTGCAATATTGATTGTTTAAAATGAGTGAAGCAACACATTTGTCAAAATCTGGAAGAGAAGAATATACTCAGTATCATTTTCAGGTACATTATCCAAAGGGCTAGGGCACATGGTACCAGCTGGTGGGGAGAGGAGTATAGATTGTGAATTAGGTGCTAGAGAGAGCTGAGACCTGGAAGGTGTCCATGGCAAACACAGAGGCAACCTGGTGTGTTAGATCCCGGAGTGCATTCATGGGATGTGGAGGCAGACAAAATAATTTTAGAGAAGATTGTTCTGAAAGATTTCCCAGCTGTCTGTTTTACAGGTGTGCCCAAAATAACATATCTAGAATGGGACTCATTTTCCCTTCAGGATGAGTTTCCATCTGAAATCTAGAAATTACCCAAGGGCTTCTGTTCCAGCATAGAAATTTCAATGTTTTTCTATATTTCCCATTTTGTCTGTCTCCATATTACTCAACAACTCTGTCAATTCTACTTTCATAATGCCTTTTACATCTATCCCTTCTTTTCCACTCTCACTACCATCACCCTGGTTTAAGACGTTATTATTACTGATGCTATTATGAATGCATACTCCTTGTCTCCCATCTTCTACAAGCAATCTTGCATCCTCAGTGATGTTGTCCATCTCCCAGAAATATCCTCTCTATATCCTATAGCAGTGTATCAAAGTGGAGTGTGTGTGCCACAGGGAATATGCAAGATAATATACTAGGGAAAGGAAAGAAAATATTAGAAACTTCGTGTTATTTATTTTAGATTACCCTTCTAAAATTTTATTTTCTGTTCATTTATAATATATGCAATGCATTAATTAGTATAGTGGTATGTAAATATGATTTATAAATAAACAAATAAGTTTGGAGTGCATCTTTTATGAGATGGTTGTGAGGCCTATAATGATTTTAGACAATTTATCTACAGAATCAAGTCTAAATTATTTAACCTAATATTCAGGCTCTTCATTATCTGACATCACTCCATTATACGTTTAGACTAATCTTCAAATAATTCAAAAGATGTAGTTTCTGCTTCAGCTATGCTTTCACTCAAATATTCCTCGAACATTTCCCAACCCTATATCATTAACCCTAGTCTCCTGGCCTAAAATGGCCTTTCACTTTCCTTTTATTTGTCTAAGTCATGTCCATCTTTCAAGAAATAGTTCATACCACTTCTCATCTAGGGAGGCTTCTCTGGCTATTATAATTCTCTAGATTCCAAAAGCAATTATAGCCTATAACTATTTGTAAATTAATTATATCTGACATGGTAATGTTATCAACATTTTTATATAAAAATGTAAACATGCATATCTGTATAGTTTGTATGCATCTAGAGTACAGAAATATATTGTCATTTTACTTTTTCTGTAAACTTCATTCATGGAATCCAGGACAGTACCTTATTCATAGTAGGCCATCAATATGTATTTTAAAAGATAATACACATATATACAAAATGTTATTAAAATGTTGAAAAAATATATGAAATAAAATGGAAGGTAGTATACTTAAATTTTAGGGAAAGATGAAATAAAAGAAGGTGCACTAGAAGATGATCATGGAAGGCTTCTTGGAGAAGTTGAATTTTGATCTAAGTTTCAAAGATAGTAAAGGACAAGAGTTGGAAAAAAAAGTATTCTTTATTGAGGGAATAAAAAAAAATCTGAGTTTTAATTGTTTCCTATGCAAACTTAGTGTTAAAAGTTTGAGAGGTTGACAAGTGATTGAAAGCATGAGACTATATTTAAGAATGCAGCTATTGAAATCGAATAGATTTCATTTTGGATTCTGTCTCTGCTTCATGACTAATGCTGAAGTTAATTAAGTGGCCATGGACAACTTAACTATTTAAGTTGTGAAAATTGAATTGTGAGATTATTGTGAGAATTGAATGAAATGAATTGAATGTACTAAACATTGTCTCTTTCACATAGTAAGTGTGCAATAAATGTTAGCTAAAACTGATAGTACTACTACTATTATTATTAAGTAAAAAAAGACTTATTTTTAAAGTTAGTTTGTAGATGATAATTTTTCTCTAAATTACAAGAAATGGAAGCAAATGAGACTTCAGAAGGTGTGTTTAGGGGTGAGTAAATTGGCTGGACATCCTGTGTGAAGAAAAACAGGATTATAGCATGATGTTTTGTGCCTTGAATCCTTTTATAAATAACATCTCTATTAAAATATAAGTCACATACCATACAAATAACATATTTGAAGTGTACAGTTCAGTAGTTTTAAATATAGTCAAAGAGTTGTGCATGTGAATTACTTGAAAACGCTTTCATCACCCCCAAATGAAACCCTGTACCCATTTGCAGTCAGTGCCCAGTTCCCAAACCCCTCACAGCCTTAGGTAACCGCTAATTTACTTTCTGTGTCTATGAATTTGCCTTTTCTGTACCTTTTATATGAATGGAATCATTTAACACATGGCTGTGATTATTAATTTTATGTGTCAACTTAGCTCGGCCATTGTGCCCAGATATTTGGTTGAACATTATTCTGTAAGATTTTATGAAGGTGTGTTTTGGATAAGATTAACATTTAAATTGGTAGACTTTGAGTAAAAAATATCGCACTCCATAATTTTGATGAGCCTTTTAAAATCAGTTGAAGATTTTAGTAGGACAAAAACTGATTTCTCCTGAGCAAAATGGAATTCTGTCAGTAGACTGCCTTTGGACTCAAATTGTATTTCTTTCTTGGGTCTCCAGCCTGCTGGTCTATGCTGCAGATTTTGGCTTTACAAAGTCTCCATAATCATGTGAGCCAGTTTCACAAAATCTCTCTCTTTCCTCTTTCAATCTCTCTCTTTCTCTACACACACACATACACACATGCATACACACACACAAACACACACACACATACATTTTGCTGGCTCTGTTTCTCTGGAAAAATGTAAGTAAAAAAGTGCTGTGTTTTGTGACTGGCCTTTTCTACTTAGAATATTTTCAAAGTTCATCCATGTTGTATCATGTATCAGTACTTCATTATTTTTCATGGCTGAGTAATATTCCATTTTAATTATATATAATATTTTATTTTTCAGTTCATCAGTTAATAGATTTTTTTAATTTTTGGCTGTTATGAATAATTCTGATATTAACTTCTCTGCACAGAATATTTCTGTGTGAATATGTTTTCAATTTTCTTATGTATATAACTACTCATAGAACATCTGGGTCAATTTGTAATTTTGAGAAACTGCCAGACTGTTTTCAAATATGACCACACTATTTTACATACCCATCAGCAGTGTATATGGGTTCCAATTTTTCTGCATCGTCCCCAACACCTGGTTTTCTCTTTTTTAAAAAATACATATCACAATCCTAGTGGATGTAAAGTAGTATCTCATTGTGATTTTTATTTGCATTTCCCTGATGGTTAATGATGTTGAGCATCGTTTTATATGCTCATTGGTCATCTTTGTTTATCTTCTTTGAAGAATTGTCTATTTAAGTCGTGTGTGTGTGTGTGTGTGTCTGTGTATGTGTGTGTAGAATCACCCTTAAGTCAATCTTAAAAGATACATATAAGCAGAGGAAGGGTTAGAAGGTGTATTAGTCGGTTCTCATGGTGCTAATAGAGACATGCCTGAGGCTGGGTAATTTATAAAGCAAATAGGTTTAATTGACTCACAGTTCCACATGGGAGGGGAGGCCTCACAATCATGGCAGAAGGCAAAGTAAGAGCAAAGACACTTTTTATATGGCAGCAGGCAAGAGAGAGCTTGTGTAGGGAACTCTCCTTTATAATACCACCTGATTTCATGAGACTTACTTACTATCATGAGAACAGCACAGGAAAGACTCGCCCCCAAGATTCAATTATCTCTGACTAGGTCCCTCCCAAGACACATGGGAAGCATGAGAGCTACAATTCAAGATGAGATTTGGGTGGGTGGGGACACAACCAAACCATATCAGAAGGTTATTCAAACTTCCAGCTTAGCTAATTTCCATAGAGGATCATAGAATAAATTTTGTCTCAAAGAAAGGAGAGTATCCAAAAATATTCTGACATTAGACAAGTTTGTATTGTTGGAAAGAGAGAAAGTAATATTCAAAATGAAGGACAATCCGCTAAATCAGTTACATTTGGCTTTGGAGTGTGTGTGGTTTGTGCGTGTGTGTGTGTGTGTGTGTGTTTTGTTTGTTTGTTTGTTTTACAGATTTATGCCTACAACTGGTTTGACTACTTGGAAGGAATTTATATGTGCTGGTTTAATTGTTTTTATTTGGTGTTTGAGGAATGACGTTTTATTTCCATTAACATAATCAAATATTTGATAGTATGTATATACACACACTCAAATGATGACTTCTTCTGCAATTATCCCTGAGTTCGAACCTACTGCTGTTATCTTTTAACCTAACTAACTGAAAGTAAGTCTCTGCAGACCTCTGAGATAGATAATTCACATGTCAAAAATTGAGGAAAAACTCAGCAGATTATCTGAAATTATTTCAAAAGTAGTGTAACCATGAAACAGGGCAGGCTGCAACTTCACCCGTTTCCTATGAGATTGGTTTCCCTATGATGCATAGAGCTGGGTCATGGCAGATTCTCAGTAAAGACTTAGGTAATTGACAAATAATGGAAGGAAATTGACACAGCTAGTTCAAGAATCTAAGTTACCTCAAAGAGGGTGAATGGAGGTCATTTCCAGAGGCAATTTGGGGGTTATTGTTCTGCAGAAATTCATGAGTTGGCCTACATCCTCTCCTCTAGAGACAAGTGGCCCTATGGGCCTAAGTATTCCAATTACTATTTCTTCAGTACATTGTACTTTCTGGCAGTATTAGGTATACTTTTGAAATGGCCATGTGTACTGAGACACATCATAACAGATCTATAATGTGTTACTTCATCTGTTTCCTGGATCAACCTTTCCTTTTGAACGTACATGTTATAAGCTCTTCTAATGAATATATTTTAAATTTTATCTCTCCGCAAAAGAGTTGATGGAAAAACTTAAGCTCTAGCACAAATAAGGTGCTCCAGCACAAATAAAGTGACCTTGTCAGATACATCAAATTTGAGCAGCAAATGTTCACAACTGGGAATTTAGTTTAATTTTCTTGTTAATAACCAGAGTACTTACTCACACAACCTCATAAGTTACCCAAAGAGATCATGGTTTTCCACCTTTTCCCAGTTAATTTGAAAAGTTAATATTTACTGAAGGCTCTTCATATCTGATAGTAGGTTAATGCTAGCTGAGCCTAAGGAATTATCCCATGGTCTTCATATGTGACAAGTTGCCAGTCTTTATGAATACAGTCAGAAAAGTGGAAGCCTCTCAAGCTACAAGTTCTGCTATTTCTTTTATCAAGAAGTTTCTATCTGTCTCCTCTGATTTATTCTCAATCTCTCCACTATAATTTAGTACCCTGTTTCCTCTTGAATCGACTATTCTAGTGGTTTTTCTAATCTATCTTCCATATCGTCTCCTTATCAATCATTCGGTATATCCTTGTTTCCATAATTATTTTTTCCCTAAAACACCGCTACTTTCAAGTTGTCATCTGTGCAAAAACCCATAGACTAATAGGTATTTATTACCTTTTGGGTAAAGTCCAAACTTGGTCGGGCATTCTAGATCCTCCTTCACAATCAGGCCCCAAACCAAAACCTGTTACTCATTGTTATCTTTTATGGAACTCCTACAGTGAGAATATTTGAATCTTTGTTTCCCTCAAACATCATTAATATTCTTAATAACTTGAAATTATTTGTGTTGTTTTATTTCTTCTTTCACTCATGCTGCTTTGGTAAATATTAATTTACTTTTAATATGTTAAAATCCTGTCACTGATCTGAATGCTGTCAATATAAAGACCAATACATTAATGTTAATTAAGTAAATCAAGGAACAAAGGTTGCTGGATAAATGAATTGATCTCACCAAATGTTCTGAGAACAAGTGAGAAAAAGTATATTGCCACTGAATTTCAAATGAAATAATGACATTTAGTTAAGACCTAGAATGTGTAATCAGCCATGATCCTAGGAACAATGTGAAGGCCTTGAGTTGAAATCCTACTGTTTTCTTTAATTCTCCTTCTGTTTCTGCATAAATACATTAACTTTGAGACTGAGTTTAACTTTAGAGCCTTTTTTCTTTTTTTTTAATTTTATTATTATTATACTTTAAGTTTTAGGGTACATGTGCCTTTTTTCTTATCTGCAATGTCAATAGCTCTCAAGCTCTTACAATGAAGGAGCTATTTTAGCAACATGTCTAGCAATGGAGTCAGTGAAAGGAGATGAATACAATACTTGTTTCGATTTTTCTATTTTTTTCTCTATTTTAAATTTCCATTAGCAGATCACCATTTGATTGGGTTTTGTTGATGGAAGAGAAGGTCTGAGTTTCCTGGACACAGTGGAGTAGAATATACTCTCTCAATCTCTATGGCTGAAATTTATGTCCTTTCCTATATAATCATGTTAGCTGATACGGTGACGGAAAGCTTTCCACATGGAGTAATTTTAGGCCACACAGAATAAAGCCCCTTTTTTTGCAGTGCTCTACCACATTCACCTCAGAGGTTTGGATTTTAAAAATTCTTGTGTAGTTGAGGTGGGATCAGAGAGCCCTCTGTCATGTTTCATGGGGCCTTGATCTCCAGGATGGCATTTGGCAATAGAGAGCCCACGAATATTTTCTATGGGCATTAGGTGGGAGTATATTTAGCTCTTATCTACAGACTAATGTGAATGACAATGGAAAAGTTTCCACAGGGATAAGCCTCACGAGTTGCCCATGAGGACAAAACTTTTATGGTCTAGTAGCATTTCCTCAGGTATTGCACCACATAGAACTCATGGGACCTGAATCACCAACCTTATTACCCAGAAATCAACTGGTCCCAATATCAGAAAGCCAAGTAGGGCACAGATAAGCAGAAAGTTACCTGCTTTATCTTTCCACCTTTCACTTCTTTACTATCCCCCTCTTCTTGTCATTATTATAATTACTATTATTAGTATTGTTTGTAAATCCATTTCTCTCTTCCACTCTTCTCATTTCCTTTATGTTTGTCAAGTATGCATTTTTTCAAAGTTTATGCACTCTTCTCTATCAGCACAGAATCCCCTAACATATTCTTCAACAAAGTGTCACTAGTGTCACTGATAATTTATACCCTCTTGAACACAACAGCCAGGAAGCCCTAACCTCAGAGATGTGTCAGCTCAACTTCGTTTTGTGCCAAAATGCCAAACCCAAGCCTCATTTAGGTGATGGGTGAGTTCAGTGGCTCTCTACTCACCCCTTTCCTCTTACACATAAATAAATTCCAGTGGGAGGAAAATAATTTCATAGGATCTTAATGTCATTATAAATACCACTTTTAGTTCAGCAAAGGAGAAAACATGAAAAGGGAGTGGATTACTCAACAACTTGGTTGATGTGAGCTTCAGAAGTATTTTTTTAGTTTTTTGAGAAAATAAATATATGTAAAACAAATATTCAAACACGGAGAAAATTTTCTCTCAGCATGGACTAGAAAACATAAAACTCTAATATTTCTAATGGGAGAAGTGAGAAATTGGTTTCTGAAACACTAAAGTTGTTTTGAAGCAACTGATACTTCCTTCTATTTATAGCTTACCAAAGCCCAGTATACATTGGTGAATGAGATTAGGGAGCAAAGTTGTACAGTTTAAGAGGGTATCCTAAAAAAACAAACAACAACAAAAAACCTCATTTCTCATAGTTTTCTGAAGAAAGTTAAATAAGCGCCCAGCATGAAAGCAAAGTCCAGCTCATAAGCTGATTTTGGACAGTGCTGACTCAGTAACACTCTTCTCTGAGATCTCTTTTCCTTGCCTACTTTGCTCCTTCATGAGAGTTTTGTTACCACTGACCTCCTTCTGACTCCCCCCACTTCATGTTAGCTTTGGACTGGCCAAGTAGCTTTGATTCTCCTGGAAAGCTGATTCAACTCACTGTCCAGTCCAGCACCTGACCTTCATTAGGCAGTCATTTCTGTCTTGAGACCATGCTGAGGAACTTCCCTGCACTGGTCTAAGCTTTATTTACACTTTGGAAACCACCTAAAGACTTAGCTCTGGGAGAAGATCTTCTTAAAGTTCAATACTGAAAGAAAACCTGTAAAGTGCTCTTTCATTTTTTAGTGAAATGTCTTTCCATTTCCCAGCTGCTGATTCATAGTGACACAGCATCGTTTGCTCTTCAGCTTGTATTTTCTCTTAGCATGGCCCCAGAGGCTAGTAGCCCAGCTCATAACCAGTGCCACAAAGAAAGAAGGGAATGGAATTTTACTAAACCAAAATAAAAAGATGTTTTTGGCAGTATGGTCAATTTTCACAATATTGATTGTACCCATCCATGAACATGAGATGTGTTTCCATTTGTTTGTGCCATCTATAATTTCTTTCAGCAGTGTTTTTTTTTTCTAGAGGTCTTTCACCTCCTTTATTAGGTATAGTCCTAAGTATTTTATTATTTTTTTGCAGCTATTTTAAAAGGGATTGAGTTCTTTATTTGATTCTCAGCTAGCTTGTTGTTGGTTTATAGAAGAGCTATTGATTTGTGTACATAAATTTTGTATCCGGAAACTCTGCTGAATTTTTTTTTTTTTTTTTTTTTGAGACGGAGACTCACTCTGTCGCCCAGGCTGGAGTGCAGTGGCGCGATCTCGGTCCACTGCAAGCTCCGCCTCCCGGGTTCACGTCATTCTCCTGCCTCAGCCTCCTGAGTAGCTGGGACTACAGGTGCCCGCCACTATGCCCGGCTAATTTTTTGTATTTTTAGTAGAGACGGAGTTTCACTGTGTTAGCCAGGATGGTCTCGATCTCCTGACCTTGTGATCCGCCCGTCTCAGCCTCCCAAAGTGCTGGGATTACAGGCGTGAGCGACCACGCCTGGCCTCTGCTGAATTTTTTTTTTTTTTTTTTATCAGTTGTAGGAGCTTTTTGGAGGAGTCTTTAGGGTTTTCTAGGTAAGTGATCATGTCATCAGCAAACAGCAACAGTTTGACTTCCTCTTTACCGATTTGGATGCCCTTTATTTCTTTCTCTTGTCTGATTGCTCTGGCTAGGACTTCCAGTACTATGTTGAAGAGGAGTGGTGAGGGTAGGCATACTTGTCTTGTTCCAGTCCTCAGAGGGAATGCTTTCAACTTTTCCCCATTCAGTATTATGTTGGCTGTAAGTTTGTCATAGATGGCTTTTATTACATTGAGGTATGTCCCTTGTATGCCAATTTTTCTGAGAGTTTTAATCAAAAAGGAATACTGGATTTTGTTGAATGCTTTCTCTGCATCTATTGAGATGATCATGTAATTTTTGTTTTTAATTCTGGTTATTTGCTGTATCACATTTATTGACTTGTGTGTGTTAAACTGTCTCTGCAACCCTGGTATCCCACATGATCATGCAGAATTATCATTTTGATAAGTTGTTGGATTTGGTTAGTTAGTATTTTGTTAAGGATTTCAACATCTACGTTCATCAGGAATATTGGTCTGTAGTTTTCTTGTTTGGTTAGGTCCTTTCTTGGTTTGATATTAGGGTGACACTGGCTTCATAGAATGATTTAGGTCAAACTACTACCATTCCATCATTCTTCATAGAATTAGAAAAAAAAGATTCTAAAATGCATATGGAACCCAAAAATATCCTGCATACACAAAGCAAGACTAAGCAAAAAGACCAAATTTGAAGGCATCACATTATCTATTTCAAACTATACTCTAAGGCCATATTTCACCAAAACAACGTGATACTGGTATAAAAAAAGGAACATAGATCAATGGATCAAAATAGAGAATCCAGAAATAAACCCACAAACTTATAGCCAACTGATCTTTGACAAAACAAACAAAAACATAAAGTGAAGAAAGGACAACCTTTTATCAAATGGTGCTGCGATAATTGGCTTGCCACATGTAGGAGAGTGAAACTAAATCCTCATATCTAATCTTATACAAAAATCAACTCACGATGGATTAAGGACTTAAATCTAAGACTTAAAACTGTAAAAATTCTAGAAGATAACATTGGGAAAACCCTTGTAGACATTGGCTCAGGCAAGGAATTCATGGCCAAGGACCCAAGAGCAAATGCTATAAAAACAAAGATAAATTACTTGGACTTAATTAAACTAAAGACCTTTTGCATGACAAAAGGAGCAGTCAGCAGAGTAAACAGACAACACATAGAGTGAGAGAAAATCTTCACAATCTGTACATATGATAAAGGGCTAATATCCAGAATCTGCAATGAACTCAAACAAATCAGCCAGAAAATTACAAACAATCCCATCAAAAAGTGGGATAAGGACATGAACAGACAATTCTCAAAAGAAAGTATACTAATGCCCAACAAACGAAAAAATGCTGAACATCACTAATGATCAGGGAAATGCAAATCAACACCACAACATGATATCGAATTACTCCTGAAAGAATAGCCATGATCAAAAAATAAAAAAATAATAGATGTTGGCATGGATGTGGTGAACAGGGAACACTTCTACACTGCTGTTGGGAGTGTGAACTAGTACAACTACTATGCAAGACAGTGTGAAGATTCTTCAAAGAATGAAAAATAGAAGTACAATTTGATCCAGTAATCCCACTATTGGGCATCTACCCAGAGGAAAATAAATTATTATACAAAAAAGACACTTGCACACGCATGTTTATAGCAGCACAATCTGCAACTGCAAAAACGTGGAACCGAACCAAATGCCTATCAATCAACGAGTGGATATATATATATATGTGATATATATATATGATATATATATATATGTGATATATATATATGATATATATATATATGTGATATATATATATGATATATATATATATGTGATATATATATATGATATATATATGATATATATATATATGTGATATATATATGATATATATATATGTGATATATATATGATATATATATGTGATATATATATGATATATATATGTGATATATATATGATATATATATGTGATATATATATGATATATATATGTGATATATATGATACATATATGTGATATATATGATACATATATGTGATATATATATGATACATATATGTGATATATATGATACATATATGTGATATATATATGATACATATATGTGATATATATATGATACATATATGTGATATATATATGATACATATATGTGATATATATATGATACATATATGTGATATATATATGATACATATATGTGATATATATATATATGATAGAATACTACTCAGCCATGAAAAGGAATGAATCAATGGCATTCACAGTGACCTGGATGAGACTGGAGACTATTATTCTAAGTGAAGTCACTCAAGAATAGAAAATCAAACATTGTTTTCTGTCATAAGTGGGAGCTAAGCTATGAGAATGCAAAGGCATGAACATGACCATAATGTTCTTTGGGGACTCTGGGGGAAAGGGTGGGAAGAGGATGATGGATAAGACTACAAATAGAGTGCAGTGTATACTGCTCAGGAGATGGGTGCACCAAAATCTCACAAATTACCACTAAAGTACTTACTCATCTAACCAAACACAACCTGTACCCCATAACCTATGGAAATAAAAAAAATAAAAATTGAAAGAAAAAATTAAAAAAGGAAAAAGCTACTTGAACTTCATGCAACAACTTGTACGAATCTCAAAGACTTATGCTATGTGAAAGAAGCCACTATCCAAAGGTTTCCTTCTGTATGATTTTATCTTATTACATTCTTGAAAAGACAAAACTATATATAGTGTTGGAGAACAGATCAGTGGTTGATATAGGAATGTGACTATAAACGCATACCATGTGGAAGTTTTGGGGAGTGGTAGAACTGTTCTGTGCCCTGATTGTGGTGGTAGCTACATTAATCGATATATGTTAAGTTCAAAAACTGGTGATTATTTCACAATACATAGGTATATCAAATTATCCAAGTAATACAACTTAAACATATATAATTTTTAATTGCAAATTATACTTTAATAAGCTGGAAAATTTTAAAAAAATAGATGCAGTGACTCAAGAGCACTATTTTGTTCTGAAGGCCAGTCTCCATGGCCTGGTAGAGTTGAGCTGGGTCTCCATAGAAATAATAGGGATTTTATTTGTGATGGGAAGATCTAGAGAATGTAGGAGAAATTATTGTCTCATTCAATCCAGACTTTAAACCCCATGAGCTACCTACTTGAGGCTACCACATGCATCATCCCCAAAGCCTACCAGAAATCATGTGTATTAGTTCGTTTTCATGCTGCTGATACAGACATAACCAAGACTGGGCAATTTACAAAAGAAAGAGGTTTATTGAACTTACAATTCCACATGACTGGGGAGGCTTCAGAATTATGGTGAAGACAAGGAGCAGCAACTCATATCTTACATAGATGGCAGCAGGCAAAAAGAGAGAGAGCATGTGCAGGGAACCTCCTCTTTATAAAACCATCACATCTTCTGAGACTTACTCACTATCATGAGAATAGCATGAGAAAGACTCGCCCCCATGATAAAATCACCTCCCACTTGGTCCCTTCCACAGCACATGGGAATTGTGGGAGTTACTATCGAGATGAGATTTGGATGGGGACACAGCCAAACCATATCATTCCACCCCTGGCCCCTCCAAAATCTCATGTCCTCACATTTTGAAACCAATCATGCCTTCCCAACAGTCCCCCAAAGTCTTAACTCATTTCAGCATTCACTCAAATGTCCAAAATCCAAGTCTCATCCACGAAAAGGAAAATCCCTTCTGCCTATGAGCCTGTAAAATCAAAAGCAAGTTAGTTCCCTCCTAGAAAAAAATGGGGTATAGGCATTGAGTTAATACAGTCATTCCAAATGTGAAAAACTGGCCAAAACAAATGGGCTACAGGCCCCATGCAAGTTCGAAGTCCAGTGGGGCAGTCAAATCTTAAAGCTCCAAAATGATCTCCTTTGACTCCATGTCTCACATCCAGGTCACACTGATGCAAGAGGTGGGCTCCCATGTCCTTGGGGAGCTCCACCCCTATGGCTTTGCAGAGTACAGCCTTCCTCCTGGATGCCTTTATTGGCTGGTATTGAGTGTCTGCAGCTTTTACAGATGCACAGTGCAAGCTGTCAGTGGATCTACGATTCTGCGGTCTGGAGGATGATTGCCCTCTTCTCACAGCTCCACTAGGTGGTGACCCAGTAGGGACTCTGTGTGGGGGCTCTGACCCCACATTTCCCTTTAGCACTGCCGTAGTAGAGGTTCTCCACCCACCCCTGCAGCAAACTTTTGCCTGGGCATCCAGGTGTTTCCATACATCTTCTGAAATCTAGGCAGAGGTTTCCAAACTTCAATTCTTGACTTCTGTGCATCTGCAGGCTCAACACCATGTGGAAGCTGCCAAAGCTTGGAGCTTACACCCTCTGAATCCACAGCCTGAGCTCCATGTTTGCCCCTTTCAGCCATGACTGGAGTGACTGGGATGCAGGGCACCAAGTCCCTAGTCTGCACACAGCATGAAGACCCTGGGCCCGGCCCATGAAACCACTTTTTCCTCCTAGGCCTCCAGGCCTGTGATGGGAGGGTCTGCTGTGAAGACCTCTGACATACCCTGGAGATATTTTCCCCATTGTCTTGGGGATTAATATTCAGCTCCTCATTACTTATGCAAATTTCTGCAGCTGGTTTGAATTTCCCCTCAGAAAATGAATTTTGTTTTCTATAGTATTGCCAGGCTGCAAATTTTCCAAACTTTTATTCTCTACTTTCCTTATAAAACTGAAGACCTGTCACAGCACCCAATTCATCTTTTGAATGCTTTGCTGCTTAGTAATTTATTCTGCCAGATACAGAAGAATCTGTATTATCTGTATCATCCATATCACTATCAGCATTTTAAGCAAAGCCATTCAACAAGTCTCTAGGAAGTTCCAATCATTTCCACATTTCCCTGTCTTCTTCTGAGCCCTCCAAATTGTTACAACCCCTGCCTGTTACCCAGTTCCAAAGTTGTTTCCACATTTTCCAGTACCTACAGCAGCACCCCACTCTACTGGTACCAATTTACTGCATTAGTCTGTTTTCATGCTGCTGATAAAGACACACCTGAGACTGGGCAATTTACAAAAGAAAGACGTGTCTTAGGCTTACAGTTCCACGTGGCTAGGGATGCTTCATAATCATGGTGGAAGGCAAGGAGCAGCAAGTCATGTCTTACATGGATGGCGGCAGACACAGAGAGAGCATGTGCAGGGGAACTCCTTTTTATAAAACCATCAGAGCTCATGAGACTTATTCACTATCACGAGAAAAGCATGAAAAAGGCTCGCCTCCGTGATTCAATCACCTCCCACTAGGTCCCTCCCATGACATGTGGAAATTGTGGGAGTTACTGAAAAGATGAGATTTGGGTTGGGGACACAGCCAAACCATATCATTACATGAGGGCATAATATCTGCTACGGGAAATAGGACATCCTAAGCCAAACTCCATGGAGCATTTTTCATGGCCTGTTATCCTTCTCTAAGGCTTATATAACCCTAAAATCTTGTGACTTCTTTCCCTGTGAGTCTTCTGTACAAATACTTCTCTTTTCTCACCCAGTTAAATAACAATAGTTATTGTGCATAGCAATTACTTTATACACATTTTGGGTGTGCACGTGTATGTAAAAGGGTTTTTTTCCTACTATTTTTAAAAGCAGATCAACCTAGGCTTCTTTTTTAAATAATTTCAACTTTTATTTTAGATTATAGGAGTGCATGCATAGGTTTGTTACATGGGTAAATTGTATAATGCTGAGGTTTGGAGCACAAATGATCCTATTTCCCAGGTAGCATCATAGTACCCAATAGTTGTTCAACCTTTGCCCTCCTCATTTTCTCTCTCCTCCAGTAGTACTCATGTCTTTCATGAAGTTCACTATGTGATCTTGGACAAGTTGCAACTTCCTGGGTATGTTTCTTCATCAGTAAAATAAAATAAATAAAAGAAAAATGAGGCCATTTCTAATTACATATAATTAGATAGATCCTAGGTTCAAATACATTAATAAGTGTAAAGGGCTTCAAATAGTTGCTAGTGATTTATCAATAGTTTTATTGAATTAGAGTTTCATTAATTTACGTACTGCTATAATTTAAGGTGGCACTAGGTGTATGAGAATAGTTTTACAGCAATGAAAATCTATCTTGTTGAATATCTGCTCATTCCTGTATTCATAAGACTTGAGTGAAAATTTTATAAAAGTGAAATTGTTGGATCAATGGGTATATGCATTTAAAATGTTTCTAGGCAGGGCACGGTGGCTCATGCCTGTAATCCCAGCACTTTGGGAGGCTGAGGTGGGAGGATCACGAGGTCAGGAGATCGAGACCATCTTGGCTAACATGGTGAAACCCCGTCTATACTAAAAATAATAAAAAAAAATTAGCTCGGCGTGGTAGCGGGTGCCTGTAGTCCCAGCTACTGGGGAGGCTGAGACAGGAGAATGGCGTGAACCCAGGAGGTGGAGCTTGCAGTAAGCCGAGATCGCACCCCTGCACTCCAGCCTGGGTGACAGAACGAGACTCCGTCTCAAAAAAATAAATAAATAAAATAAAATAAAATAAAATAAAATAAAATGTTTCTAGAACTTGCCAAATTATCCTTCAAAACATTGTCTGAGAATAGCGGATTCCTCATATTCTTATCGACATTGGATGTTCAAAATATAATCTTATGTGATCTGATATTTTGCCTATTTTAAAATTTTTCATTAAATTCACCAATTTTTCTTGGAGTGAAAATAAAATTTTGTAGAAGACTTTGGAAGACAGCAAGCCGGGTTGATCCTTTATTAAAAACATGACTAGATAAACATTCATTCTGGAATCTAGACCACATATATTTGAAATGTTTGCTTTGGGATATATTGAGTATTTAAGCATTAGAAAACTTGCCCTGCTCTTGAATAACATCTTGGTACCGTGACAAAACGCATACATACAACCAATTTGAAATGGTAGCATACTTGTGCTCTTAGAGACTTTTAAGGATTCTGAATAAATTTGAAATTCTCCACATTTTGTGCATCAAACTTATTTCAAATTAGGGCGATTAGATAAACTATTTAATTTTTGAAAAATAGTGAAGCTGCCAGACTCCAGGGTAACTTCTTGAATTAGTAAGCAGTTTCCCCCCATGAGAATCTAGTATAAGTTACTCCACAGCTGCAAGAGATCTGATCAAGGAAAAGGACCAAGGATGACCTCAGCAAATGCATTACTGGCTTCCTGTTTCTGTATACTCTAAAATATAATTAGGCTGAAATGCAAAGAGCAAGGGAAAACACTTGGAATAAAGCTGGATCCAGGTTTACAAGCCAGATGATTTTTTGGCAGGTTAATCACTTAGTAATTGAATTGTTTATTCTTGTTTATCTTTTGGTTGCTAAGATGACTTTATGATATCAACTTTTGGAATCTATACACTCTTCTTTGACCAGGAAAGAAAAAGAACAATTTTATGTAACTTAATGTAAGTACGGTTTTTAATGGCTGATAATTATCTAATATTTTTATTGGAGATCAATGAAGCATCTAGCGATACTGACTTCAGTATCACGTTTTGCTCTCTTTCAAAGCCATTTGTTTCACATGTGTTTTTGCACTTGATTCTTGCAGAAGTCTTCGGAGGCAAGGGTTATTATCTGCATTTTATAGCAGAGCTGGAACTGGAAGCCAGCTTATTTATCTATTGTGCTTTTCCTTAGATAGAGGGAAGTTCTGGTGAATAGAGGCATTGCAATTGCTTTATAAATGTAAAAAACAAACAAGATGATTTGACTGCAAAAGGAAAATATAATAGAATTTAAAAATACTTTAGGGGCTCAAAACATTTACCTTTTGATTTGAATTCATACCAAAAGTGTTCTCTAAATTTGGAGTCATTGCAAAAATATACGTCAGTATTTTACTTTACCTTTACAAGTAAAATACCCTTACTACAAGCAAAGATTCCCAGACATTTTATATTTGCATCTTCATCCCTAATCATGAAATAAAAGCAGAAGATTCCCTGTGCCATACATATAATGATCCTAACTTGATAGCTACTAGATTAAATACATTCAATAAAATTACTGAGCACCTGTCATATATATGACAAGAACTTGCCATCTAGTTGGGGGAAGGGGCACAATACATAAGACAAGTACATATAGAACTAAAATGCCAAACAGAATATAAATGCCTAAATGTTCTGGAGGTTCAGAAAATGGAAAGGTCCTATCCAATAAGGTAAAAAAAAGGGAATAGAAATAATATTGTGTAAGAGGGGGAGTTTGGACAGAATCTTGACAAAACGATGGGCAGAATTTCAACTGACAGAAGAGAGGACAAGAGGGCTTCAGGAAGATAACTCATACCAAAGCTTGGAGATAAAGTCTAATGTGTTTATGAAATAGTGATAATCCAGTTTGCTTGAGATACAATGTACCACTGGTAATATGTACATAAGGGAGGATAGAAAAGTATGAAACCATAGGGCTTTGAAATCCAAGTAAAAGAGTTTAGCAAAGAACTGGTGCACAGTGGTGAATTATTGAAGGTTTCTGAGCAGGGAAAAGGACATGATTAAGCTGAACTTGAAGTAAAGGAAGCTCATAGCTCTGGGTAGGGCATATATATGGCAATGTGAACAATTGGGAGACTATTTCAGTAGCCTAGCTAAAGAATGAAAATTATATGAAAAGCGAATTTCAGTGCCCATAAATAAAGTTTTATTGGAACATAGCCACGTGCATATGTTTAGATACTGTCTATGGCTATGTTGGTGCTACAGTGACAGAGCTGAGGAGTTGTCACAGACTGTGTGATCTAGAAAGCTGAAAATATTTGCTATCTGGCCCTTTTCGAAGTGCCTAATTTATTTATTTTGGGGTTATTTCTTCTCTTTCTTTCTATCTTTTTTATATTTAACTTTCGAGTACAGGGTACATGCACAGGTTTGTTATACAGGTAAACTTGTGTCATTTTTTTTTTACAGATTATTTTGTCACTCAGGTATTAAGCCCAGTAACCATTAGTTATTTTTCCTGATCCTCTCCCTCCTCCCATCCTTCGCCCTCCAGTAGGCCTCAGTGTGTATTGTTTCTTTCTATGTGTCTATGTATTCTCATCATTTAGCTCCACTTATATGTGAGAAAATGCAGTATTTAGTTTTCTGTTTCTGCATTAATTTGCTAAGGATAACAGCCTTCAGCTCCATCCATGTTCCTGCAAAAGATATGATCTTGTTCTTTTTTATGGCTGCATAGTATTCCATGCTGCATTTGTACCACATTTTCTTTATCCAGTCTATCATTGATGGGTATTAAGGTTGAGCCGATATCTTTGCTATTGTGAATAGTGCTGCAATGAACACACGTGTGCATGTGTCTTTATAACAGAATGCTTTATATTCCTTTGGGTATATACTCAGTGATGAGATTGCTTGGTTGAATGGTATTTCTGCTTTTAGGTCTTTGAGGAATCACACTGTCTTCTACAATAGTTGAACTACTTTAGACTCCCACCAACAGTGTATAAGCATTCCTTTTCTCCACAACTTCATCTGCATCTGTTATTTTTGAATTTTTAACAACAACCAACTTGACTGGCCTGAAATGGTATCTCATTGTGGTTTTGATTTTATTTCTCTAATCATCAGTGATGCTGAGCTCATCTTTGTGGTCTTATCTTCCTTTGATCTTGGAGGATGCTGACCTTCAGATTTTTTTTTTCTTCTTCTATCTTATCTGGTGACATTGAGTGTTTGGTAGTAGGATAAGGTGGATTCAGCCAACTGGCTTCAATTGTAGAAGATGTTAGGGGGCCAACAGCCAACACTGAGCTCCTGATTCCTGGACTGCATACTCTAACTTTGGGGGACTTGTGTTGGGCCCTGACTTTGTTCTCTGGCTCCTTAAAGTTAGGAATCCAGCAAGCTGCCAGAGCTGTGGTGCTGCTGGAATGCTGATCACTACACTCTAATGGGTGTAGTGACACCATTTCACTCTAAAGGGTGTATTGACAAAACATTTCTAGTACAGTGACGGCAGGATCCCTCCTCATTCTCAAATGCCAGCAGCAGCAGTAGTGGCAACTGTGGCAGAGTGCTAGCTAGTGCCGGTGAGTGCCAGGATGCCTGCCTCCCTTCTGGTGTTCAACACAGTGGCAGAGGCAATGCAGCTGGAGGGGGACAGTGGATGGAGGAAGGGGCTGCGGGAGGGGGTTGGGGGATTGCCCTGCCGGGCGACTGTGTGCAGGTGACTGGGTGCTGGAGGTGGTGTTTTCTCTGAGGTGGGGTACTGGCAAGCACAAGTCTGGGTGCCTTCTCTGTGCCCCTCAAGCAGGAGTAGTCACTCGGGGGAGGTGGGGGAGGATCTGCTGTTCTCTGCCCACTGTTAGTGCAAGAGTGGGGCACTGGTCGGGGCAGGGCTGGCGGGCTCTGTGCCCACCAAGGCTCTTCTAGCATTGGCAGTCAGAGGGGTGAGTGGGGAAGGACTGCACTCCTATGAGCTGGCGGGGCAAGGAAAGCAAAACAGGCCCCAAAAGACACACACCAGCAAAGCGACGTGGGGAGTTGCCAGTGGTTCCGGGGAAGGCTGCAGTAAGGAGAGGGAGCACTTGGGCTGGTGCTTGGCCTTAGGGACTCTCCACCTTTCAGTCACGGTCTGCCATCGCAGAAGCTATGGTGTGGGTTCCAGGGCACCCCAGGCTGCCCTGCAAGCAAGTGTGGGTAGGCTGGGGGCCAGAGAAAGGCCAGATGACCAATGGGTGCTCAGGTTGGACTGGCCCCACCTGACTGGCAAGACTGCCCTTCAGAGTTCAGGATGACAGTTCTCATCGGGCTAAACTCTCCTATGGGAGCGACTTGAGCTTAGGGGGATAGTCATCCTTGGCTGTGCTCAGCTACAGACACTCCCACACCAAATCTTCTGTGCTGCTGCACATTCAGCTGGCTTGCTGCTCCACCCATTCTCTAAGCAGCTCTACCTGCCAACTAGATTGTCCATGGTGAGGGGTTCCAAAAGCTTGTGGCGAGAGCAGGTTGCTCCTTTCCAGTTCAACTCATTGGTTCTCTTGGAGCCCTGCGGGGGCAGCGATGATTCCAGATGTAATGTCCTGCATAGAGTTCCCAACTTTCTCCCCCTTCAACCCAGCTTCTGTATCTTCCCTCTGTCCACTCTCAGTGCCTTCTCTCTGAAGATCTGTTAGCAACATGCCAGTCGTCTGGGTCCCTCCATAGGAGCTGTTCCACATGGTTGTGTCTGGTTGGCCACCTTGCCCTCCCCTCCCATTCATCTGTTGATAGACATTTAGGTTGATTCTATATATTGCTATTGTGAATAGTGCTGCAATGAACATGGGAGTGCACATATCTCTTTGATATACTCGTTTCCTCTCTTTTGGATATATACCCAGCAGTGGGATTGTTGGATAATGTGATATTCTATTTTTAGTTTTTGAAGAACCTCCATGCTGTTTTCCACTGTGGCTGTACTAATTTACATTCCCACCAACAGGGTATGAACAATCCTCTTTCTCCACGTCCTGGCCAGCATTTATTATTTGCCTGTCTTTTGGATAAAAGTAATTTTAAGTGTAATGAGATGATAGTGTAGTTTTGATTTGCATTTCTCTGACAATTAGTGATGTTGAACATTTTTTCGTACACCTGCTTGCCATGTGTATGTTTTCTTTCGAGAAATGTCTACTCAGGTCTTTTGCCCATTTTAAAAATCTGATTATTTGTGTTTTTTTTCTCCTATTGAGTTGTTTGAGCTTCTTATATATTTTTATTGTTAGATGGGTAGTTGGCAAATATTTTCTCTGATTCTCTGTGTTGTCTCTTCACTTGGTTGATTGTTTCCATTGCTGAGCAGTAGCTTTTTACCTTGATATTATCCCATTTGTGCATGTTTGCTTTGGTTGCCTGTGCTTTTTAGGTTTTACTCAAGAAATCTTTGCTCTGACCATTGTCCTGGATAGTTTCCTGGAGAGTTTTCCCACTGTTTTCTTCTAGTAGTCTTGTAGTTTCAGGTCTTAGATTTACGTTTGTAGTCTATTTTGATTTTATTTTTGTATATGGCAAGAGATAGGCGTCTAGTGTCATTCTTCTGCATGTGGATATCCAGTTTTCCTAGTAACATTCATTGAAGAGACTATTCTTTCCCCAGTGTATATTATTGGCACCTTTGTCAAAATTGGGTTAACTGTAAATGCATGGATTTATTTCTGGGTTCTCTATTTTGTTTTATTAGTCTGTGTTTCTTTATTATACCACTGCCATGCTATTTTGATTATTATAGCTTTGTAATACATTGTGAAAACAAAGAGTGTAATGCCATTAGCTTTGTTCTTTGGGCCTAGAATTTTTTATTTTAACTATTTGGGGTCTTTGGGGGTTTCATATGAATTTTAGGATTTTTTTTTCTATTTCTGTGAAGAATGTCATTGGTGTTTTCATAGGGTTTGCACTGAATCTTTAGATTGCTTTGGATAGTATGGAATATGTCTGTTTTTTTCTTTGTGCAACTCTTGCTTTTTTCTTTTTTTTCATTGTACTTTAAGTTCTGGGATACATGTGTAGAATGTGCAGGTTTGTTCCATAGGTATACATGTGCCATGGTGGTTTGCTGCACCCATTAACCCGTCATTTAGGTTAGGTATTTCTCTGAATGCTATCCTTCTCTTAGCCCCCCACCCCGTGACAGGCCCTGGTGTGTGATGCTCCCCTCCCTGTGTCCCTGTGTTCTCATTGTTCAACCCCTAATTATGAGTGAGAATATGTGGTGTTTGGTTTTCTGTTCCTGTTTTAGTTTGCTGAGAATGATGGTTTCCTGCTTCATCTATGTCCCTGCAAAGGACATGAACTCATCCTTTTTTATAGTTGCATAGTATTCCATGGTGTATATGTGCCACATTTTCTTTATCTCATCTATCATTGATGGGCATTTGGGTTGGTTCCAAGTCTTTGCTATTGTGAATAGTGCTGCAATAAACATACGTGTGCATGTATCTTTATTGTAGAATGATTTATAATCCTTTGGGTATATACTCAGAAATGGGATTACTGGTTCAAATGGTATTTCTGGTTCTAGATCCTTGAGGAATCTCCACACAAATTAGTTCCACAATGGTTGAAGTAATTTGCACTCCCACCAACAGTGTAAAAGCATTCCTATTTCTCCACATCCTCTCCAGCATCTATTGTTTCCTGACTTTTTAATGATCACCATTCTAACTGGCGTGAGAAGGTATCTCATTGTGGTTTTCATTTGCATTTCTCTAATGACCAGTGATGATGAGCTTTTTTTCATGTGTTTGTTGGCCAAATAAATGTCTTCTTTTGAGAAGTGTCTGTTCATATCTTTCACCCAATTTTTGGTGGGGTTGTTTTTTTCTTGTAAATTTGTTTAAGTTCCCTGTAGATTATGGTTATTACCACTTTGTCAGATGGATAGATTGCAAAAATTTTCTCCCATTCTGTAGGTTGCTTGTTCACTCTGAAGAGAGTTTCTTTTGCTGTGCAGAAGCTCTTTAATTTAATTAGATCCCATTTGTCAATTTTGGCTTTTGTTGTCATTGCTTTTGGTGTTTTAGTCATGAAGTTTTTGCCCATGCCTATGTCCTGAAAGGTATTGCCTAGGTTTTCTTATAGGGGCGTTATGGTTTTGGGTTTTACATTGAAGTCTTTAATCCATCTTGAGTTAATTTTTTGTATAAGGTATAAGGAAGGGTCCATTTTCAGTTTTCTGCATGTGACTAGCCAGTTTTCCCAACATCATTTATTAAATAGGGAATTCTGTCCCCATGGTTTGTTTTTGTCAGGTTTGTTGAAGATCAGATGATTGTAGATGTGTGGCATTACTTCTGAGGCCTCTGTTCTATTCCATTGGTCTATATATCTGTTTTGGCATCAGTAACATGCTGTTTTGGTTACTGTAGCCTTGTAGTATAGTTTGAAGTCAGGTAGCATGATGCCTCTAGCTTTGTTCTTTTTGCTTAGAATTGTCTTGGCTAAATGGGCTCTTTTTTGGTTCCTTATGAAATTTAAAGTCGTTTTTTCTAATTCTGAGATGAAAGTCAATGGTAGCTTGATGGGGATGTCATTGAATCTATAAATTAGTTTGAGCGGTATGGCCATTTTCACGATATTGATTCTTCCTATCCATGAATATGTAATGTTTTTCCATTTGTTTGTGTCCTCTCATTTCTTTGAGCAGTGGTTTGTAGTTCTCCTTGAAGAGGTCGTTCACATTCCTTGTAAGTTGTATTCCTAGGTATTTTATTCTTTTTGCAGCAATTGTGAATGGGAGTTTACTCATGATTGGGCTATTTGTCTATTATTGGTGTATAGGAATGCTTGTTGTGTTTGCACGTTAATTTTGTATCCTGAAAGTTTGCTGAAGTTGCTTAGCAGCTTAAGGAGATTTTGGCTGAGATGATGGGATTTTCTAAATACACAATCATGTCATCTGCAAACAGACAATTTGACATCCTCTCTTCCTATTTGGATAACCTTTATTTCTTTCTCTTGCGTGACTACCGTGGCCAGAACTTCCAATACTATGTTGAATAGGAGTGACAAGAGAGGGCATCCTTGTCTTGTGCCAGTTTTCAAGAAAAAAATGCTTCCAGTTTTTGCCCATTTAGTATGATATTTGCTGTGGGTTTGTCATAAATAGCTCTTATTATTTTTAGATATGTTCCATCAATACCTAATTTGAGAATTTTTAGCATGAAGGAGTGTTGAATTTTATCGAAGGCCTTTTCTGCATCTATTGAGATAATCATGTGGTTTTTGTCATTGGTTCTGTTTATGTGATGGATTACGTTTATTGATTTGGGTATGTTGAAACAGCCTTGCATTCCAGTGATGAAGCCTACTTGATCATGGTGGATAAGCTTTTTGATGTGCTGCTGGAATTGTTTTGCCAGTATTTTATTGAGGTTTTTTGCATCAATGTTCAACAGGGATATTGGCCTGAAATTTTTTTGTTGTAACAACAACAAAAAAATACAGTGTCTCTGCCAGATTTTGGTATCAGAATGATGCTCATCTCATAAAATGAACAGTTTTCTGTTGAGATTAGTAGTGATAGTAACAAATATGATGTATTTGTGATACTGTGTGGTAAACTTTGTCAACATTTGCATAACTCAGTGAACCAATATTCTCCAAAAGACCAAAGCATGTTGTTTTCAATAATACACACTTAAGGGATCATTCAAAGTACAATATAGACAAATGAATTATATTGAAATAGAGTAGAAAATGTTCATCAGTATGTTTTCAGAATCCACATTGTTATTATCCTGTAAAAAGCTACTACTTATCTAATTTTGGTTTGGTATGAAAGAAAAATTTGTACGTTTTTCTGAAAAGGCTATTCAAACACTCCTCCCTTTTTTTATCTACACACCCATGTGAGGCCAGATTATTCCCAACATTACAACTAAAACAACGTATTACAACAGAATGAATGCAAAACAAGATATGAGAATACAACTATTTTCTGTTCAGCCAGAGATTAAAGAAGTTAGCAAAAATGTAAAACAATGTCACTCTTCTTTTATTTTGGTAAATTTGTTATATTTTATAAAATAAGTTATTTTATTAATATGTAACAAATTTATTATTTTAATAAATACATGAATTTTTTTAAAAATTGACATCTATGCCTAATATAGTAAATATCAATAGATATAACCCACATAAACAAAAGCTCTCTGAGATCCTAAATAATTTTTAAGAGTGTAAATTGCTCTGAGACCAAAAAGTTTACTTATTTGAGGAATGCTGATTTGGACAATCTTTCATTGCTTGTCAGTGCCTAAAATTGCAGACAGTTAGAATCTAATCTTCTGTGTTTGTAGTGTCCTCTTCCTAAATACTTTTTTCTATTTTAGTATGAAGAGCCTACTCTGATCACTTTATTTTGTAAGAACGGGAACCCAGAGGGTCTGGAAGCATACCATATCCTTGAGAAGAATGCTGAACAAAAAGGCTAGTCAGGGAAGATAGGGTGCAAATACAGTCTTCACCTATTCCACTGTTTTCCCAATGATCAATCCTGGTGACACATATGAAAGTTAATAAGTCTCATAGCACAATGCCTGAAGTGTGAAACTGAGACAAGAGATCCCATTCTTTGCCTCATTCCTTGGCGTCTTGCTCATTGTTTATGGCTTTGACTAAATGGGCATCAAAGAGATCACCTAGAATTTATTGAAATCTCATTTTTCTGGTTAATACACAGCACATTGACCCAAATGGCCAGTTATTTGACTGAATAAAATCTTTTCTTATGAAAATTTTCTGAAACAGAATTCATTAAAAATTTATATTATGTGAATCATTTTCCTTGTCAAGACTATAGATTCTGCACAGGGACCCTCAAGAACTGGCCAAGTGGTAAACTTGTCTCCAAAACGAGCCTCTGGGTTCAGAAAAAAGAACCTCTCTTCCAGCTACAAAGTATGTTTTTCTCACTGAAAGAAGATATACTTCATCATATGACTCAAAAAAAGTCTTAATGGAAAATATGCAAAAAATGAACCCCTTGAAAGATTTATTTATTCCTATTCGTGAAAATTCATTTCCTCTTTCATTTTACTGATTACAGTTTTAAGAGCTCTTTGAGAAAAATATTTTTTGGAAACTACTCTCTATCTTCATTCTTACAGTCATTGTCCCAATCTAGGCTCTAATTACCTCAAATGTAATGGTCTATTCTCTAAAAGAGATCTTCACCTCCTGTTTTGCCCCCTCCTGCAATCCATTCTGTATACTATTATCTCCGTGATCATTCAAAGAATTGTAGAAAGGAAGCAGGCTGTTGAGCAAGGCACATATGAATTTGAATCTTGCCTCTCCCACTTCCTTGTTTACAATCTTTGGGAAGTTAATTAATTTCTCTGTGCTTGAATTCATTAATGCAGAAAATGGGAGATAATATTAGTCCCTACTCCATAGGATTGTTTGATGAATTAAATTAGATGATGTGGGCGAATTGCCTAGAATGGTGATAGGACATGGAAAGTACTCAGTAACTAATAATTTTATTTTCCCTCCTCCGACTCTGTTTATATCCTTTCAATTACTTCCTGTATTCCATGGCTTCTATACTCTAAGGCATTTTTGTAGAACTCCATCCTCCAAGCTTCTTTCCCTCTGTTTCCAGCATGCCTTATGGGTCAGACAAAATCTTGCCCTCATTCTCACACAAACAGTACATGTTTATTCTACATGTTTATTCTCCATTCATGTCCTCAGCAATATTCTTTCTCTCTCTTGGAATCTCTTGCCTTCTCTACTCTCTTTAAATTTTCTAAACTGCAGACACTCAAATGTTTCTCCACAGATTTTGTTATTTGCATACCCTCTATAGTTTTGTGGGGTTTTTGTGTAGTTTTTTGTGAATAATCACAGTATTTAAAATTTAGTTACCTACTTTAGCCTCCTCTTAAGAAATATTATCTAAGAAATCATAAATTTGTATGGATAATTTTATTATATTTTAAAGGTTTAAAATAAATATATAGCTTTAAATTTTTAAGCTTTTCTTTGTACCACCTAAAATAAAAAAATCTTGGTATGTCTCCACTAGGACATTTTATTCTCTGGGAAACACTGCTTAAAGCAAAACTTGCCCATCAAGAAAGGACCAGAAAACCTTCTCCAACAGGTTCAGCCCATGGTTAATTTATCTTCTTAATTTCCATACAATTTAACAGTCAAGTATGTACTGTGCTTCATTTTCTAACTATTTTATGAATAATTAACTTGTCACATAAACTGTAGACTCTTGGAGGATAGGAAACATATTTTTTGTTTCCCAAACTCAGCCTTCCTCCACAGCTTTGGAGAGATTTCTCATTGTTGTAGTTCATTAAGTATTTGTTAAATGATTAGTTTTCAAAAATGCATAGGAATACTCTGCAGATATATAATCAGACATGGAAAACTCTTGAAGGTATTTTACCTAAAGCAATTTAGCTTCACTAGTTCTAATTTAAAAAGAATTGAGGTTCACAGTTCACTCTGTCCTTTATTTTTCATTTTTGGATTCCACTATGTTCCAGAAAGGACTGAAAGTTGTTTCAAAGGAAGAATGTTATAAGAAGATAATATAAGTTAAAGTGGATAAAAAATAATAATGACAAAATTGGCAAAGACATAAAAATTGAGATATGATAAAAATGAATCCCACAAAGCACACCATAAAAAATCTCCACACTTGCTACCAGTAGATTCTATGTTGGTTCATGATTTTTAATCAGACTTTGTAAAAAGAGACACATGACCAATTACAAAGTCAGTATTCATAAAAATAAAATTTAACCATTTGCTTAGGAAAAACCTAGCTTCTCCTCATACTAAATCATATAGAGCTCTAGGGTTACCTAGGAAACACAATATATGGTAATGAATAACATTCTCAACAATAGCTATCACTCCTCATTTATTGATACTGTTAGAGAGAATTTAAAGCCTTTGAAGCACCAAATCATAAACTTTCCCCAGCCTATGGAAGACATAATTCATCATTTAAAGTAAACTTTGATGACATACATAAGAATAAGGAAAGAATTTAGAACTATTGGTAAAATAGTACAACTGCACTACTTTTAAGAATCTTATAATTAGGGTACTTATTACTTTGTTTTAGTTTATAATGATTTGTAAACCATAAGTCGTACCTAGTAACAAAAAGACTTTCTTTTAAAAGTTAATTGGAGATGACTGTTAGGTTATCAGCTTGCTTTGTTTCTCCACAGATTTGTTCATTATAATTGTATTAGTTTGTTTTCATGCTGCTGATAAAGACATACCTGAGACTGGGAAGAAAAAGAGGTTTAATTGGACTTAACAGTCCCATATGGCTGGGGAGGCCTCAGAATCATGGTGGGAGGAAAAAGGCACTTGTTACATGGCAGTGGCAAGAGAAAATGAGAAAGATGCAAAAGCAGAAACCCCTTATAAAACCATCAGATTTCATGAGACTTATTAACTACCAGGAGAATAGTATGGAGGAAACTGGAGGAAACTGCCCCCATGATTCTAATGAACTGCCTTCAAGTCCCTCCCACAACACGTGGGAATTATGGGAGTACAATTCAAGATGAGATTTGGGAAGGGATACAGAGCCAAACCATATCAATAATTAACACTCAAAATTTACCTGAGTTAAAATTTTTCATTTGAATTGGGACACTGACTTCTGGTTTTATTTTTCTTCCCTTTTTAGGGTCAGTGACAGAAGAAGCTGCTTGCGTGCAAGACAGAAATGAAGTAAACTGGTAGGTTTCCTTCTCGCAATGTGAAGGTTTTGTCTGTGAAATAAAGTTGGGATGTGGTGATCATAGCCAGTTGTAAGAAAAGGATTTCTTGTATTTCTGGATCCCAGGGTTTGCCTTCAAAGCTCAACAGGTCTGGAATTTTTTTGTTTGTTCAGAGAAGAATCTTACCCTAGGAAAACTGGCTCACACTAACCATAGGGAGGAACACAACTGCCAAATGGACTGAGATGTGTGTTGGTCTGTCAGTGTATTCTCTTTTCAGTAGGGATGCCAATTCAGAAACCTAAATTAACAAAAGATAGGAGCTGAATAAACATTTGAAATCAAAATTAAGAAGGGGATTGAAAGGCTAAACTTGTTTCATTTGACATACATCAGCCAGGATGATGCCAGTCTTCACAAGTTATGACATTTCCATCAATCATCCCAAGCTCTTAGTTTCCAATACTGTCAGCTTCTCTTTCCCTTACACGCCAACAGGGGTTTGTGCTGCATTTTAAACCTCGTTTCTCAAAACTACTCTCAGACTTAGTTGACACTGTAGTCCTCAAGTGTATGATCTTCCTGTATTCACATAGTTTTGAAGGCCCCATATACACTGTACATAAAAACCAGAATTTTAGTACACTGGAGGGAGACCCCGTAATCAATAATGTTCATTTACTTATTCATGCATTCTTTGAGCATTTGTTTATTTATTAATTCCCATATGTATTCATTCAATAACAATTCATGAAAATGCCTTGTGCTGGACAAATTGGGAATACAGATATGAATCAGACATGATCTTTACCCTCAAGCAGTGTGCAGTCTAGTAAAGGGATAATAAATATACAAAAATAATGAAACTATGTGTTAAATTGTGAGCCTCAAGATGAAGGGGTTGGGAGAGGGGCACTCCAGATGGAGGGAACAACTTAAGCAAAGGTACTTCTACTGTTTCTAATTTTGACTTGTATTTTTTAGGTTTCCTCAGCCTTTGCCCCTCAGGCTTGCACAAGCTGTAGCTTTCTTGTTACTAGGTAAACACTCTTTAGATTTTCCTGAAAATTTCATCTTACCATGGAACCTACTGGAATCAGTGAAAATCTAGATATGTCGGTTGTCAAGGAAGGAGATAGGGTGAGGAAGGCTGTTATATAGCCATTGTGTGAGTATGCATAGCCTCTGACTCCCTGCTATTTGAATTTCTCTGCACCAATGAAATAAAAAGAAATAAAATTTGAGTAACGTCATTTGCTCAAGGGACTTACCTTTCATTTGTGCAAATAAGGTTTCTGTGGTGAGACACCAGATAAACTCAACTTCCTCTTTCAACAACAAATGTGTCAGTTATCAGCAGGATCCATGCCGCCAGAGTAAAGCTTTCTACCCTTTACTCCCTGCAAAGAAACAAGAGTGCTTATCCCAGCTAAGCTCCAGGGTAAGTTAATGCCTAGCACCTGGGGATTGGTGGTTTCATGTGGGAAGATTGGTGTGATCATAAAAATCAGAACAGAGGTGGATGTGGGGCCAGTGTCTGTATTAAAATTGTCACTGGTTTCTCATCTCAGACATCTTACAACAGGAGCAAAGATAATTACTGTTGAGTTTGACCAGAGTCCAAAGTTAACGTTAATGCCATCAGTCCTCTTCATTATGCCAGGAGCATGGAGTCTGTGATGCAGCTCACTCTTTGATGAGGGCTCTTTAGAGAGTGGGACCAGAGAAGATGGCACAAAGTGGTAAGAAGAGTATATTCAGTGAGACTCATTGGGACAACTTGACATATTCGGCCAATAAAAGTCAATTTAATTTTTTATGGTGTATAATTTATCTAGCTGCATCGTGAAGGAAGATTTTTGGGTATAAAATCCTTGCTTTGGAAAATTTAGCTTTCAGAGATACTGAGACAAATAGTAGAAAGCAGGGTAATAGATTCTGGGGGCTGAAAGGGCCCATAGAGATCCAAATCCCTCACAATACAGTCAGGAAAACTGAGAGCCAGTGAAGTGAAGACACTTAGGTTCACTCAGCTTGTTAGTGGTATAGGTGGATCTAGGACCTGTGTCTTTAAACTCATGTTTGCCTTTTCCTACAGCAGTTTGCATCTCCCAGAGAATACTGTAAATTTATTTGTGACCCTGCCATTTTTTAGGATAGGAAAGGAGAAAGTATCCCAGATGACTTCAGAGTCTGGTCAGAGTGGTTCCTTGATCCTTTGAAAGCTAATTTTGACCGAAGTTCAGCCTTACTGGATAGCAAAGCCCATGAGTGAGGCACTCATTTTTTCAGTTATTATTGCTATTACTCTGAATACTAGCACCTCTCTCCTTCTGAGCTAAGATGACTAAATCAAAAGGAGACTTTCAGCTAAGGAGTCCCTGAAGGGAGACTGTGCCAAATCATTTGGAACCAGGATAAGGCTGGATAGAATGATACCAGATTTGGCTGTGCTTTCCAGGGGAGTAGGCTCAGTTCCAAGAATCCTGCAAGTGAGAATATTTTTATTTCAGTTGTTCAAATGGATGTGTGGAGTCATTATGATGTATATTAATTGGAGAATCTATCTCTTAGCAATTGCAGCACAGTAAAATTAACCACTTATGAAAGTAGGTGATATGCAGATATACTGAGGTGGAAAATGGTGTAAACTACAGTCAGAATCAGATCACACATTTGGGGCAATTGTTTTTGCAATGGTTCCTGTTGAACACAGATTCTTTGGCCAAATGCAGTTTATTTTGGGGCTCAACTGGGAAAGTTGTAGAGTTCAAGTTGTACAGACTACTCAAATCTGAAGACATCAAATGAATAAACACATTTATGGGTTGTTTTGGTTTGAAATAAGTGAGTTGGGGTTTTAAAAGACAGGCCAGCCTGCTGGGCTTGGTGGCTCACGCTGTAATTCCAGCATTTTGGGAGGCCGAGACAGGTGGATCACCTGAGGTCAGGAGTTCGAGACCAGCCTGGTCAACATGGCGAAACCCCGTTTCTACTAAAAAATACAGAAATTAGCTGGTTGCAGTGGCAGGCGCCTGTAATCCCAGCTACTGGGCAAGCTGAGGCTGGAGAATCGCTCGAAACCGAGAGATGGAGGTTGCAGTGAGCTGAGACTGTGCCATTGCACTCCAGCCTGGGAGACAGACCAAGACTCTGGCTCAAAAAAAAAATAAAAAAAAGATAGGCTGCCTATCTATACTATAGCTCTCTGTCATGGCTCAAGCAAAGAGAACAAAGCTGTTTATAGTAAAATGAGACTTTCTAAAAGCACTAACAATCAGGGCAATGGTTCCCCGGTGGTCTATGATTTATTTTAAAAGCTTTTGGCAAAAAGGTTTATTTATTCTTCAGATCAGTATATTTTGTGGAGAAGTTTTCTCCTAGTATCAGTTCATATACATCACAGGTAGAGTGATCAAATAGATAGATCAATACATAAGGAGTCAGAAGTCTGTGTTATAGTTCAAGTTCTGCCAATGACTGGTGTGGCCTTCGGTGAGTTATTTCATTTCTGTGCATCTCAATAATCTCATCTATTATAATGGGAGAGGGCTTGGAATAGATGGTTCCTAATTTCCTTCCTAGCAATCCAATGATTTGAGTTAGACTGTTAGATACCTAAGAATAGTTAAATGTTATGGAGTGGTGAATAATGGGGCCATAATAGGGAAATCTATCTAGAGAGGACATTCTGGAAATGTAGTTCAGATCTCCAAGAGAACTGAGTATCCTTTCCCAATTGCCATTATATTTCTTTCAGGTAATGTTATCATGACAGCTTCAACTTTTAGACCACAGGCAAATGCTTTGTAAGTAATTTCCCTTTTTTAAAAATGAGAAAATGCAAGACAAAAGATAAAACTTTCTGAAATCTAATTTCCACAGTGACAATGACACTCAGTTGGCATTTCTCAATCTTTTAAACCCAAGGTTCCCTTTGAGAAACGTAAACATTTCACTACAAGGTTACTGTGAACTTGCCTTCCTAGGGACCAGACCCTGGACTTGTAGAAAAATCTGCTCCATCACATTGACATTTTCCAAGTACTAAGTGCCCAACAGTTAAGAGGATTTTGTAGATCTGTACTTTCACAGTTTGTATTGTAGAAACAATAATGACATTTTTTATTTTGTTTTCCAAATATATTTGTTATAATAAGGAATATGTTTTATCAAGTAACACTTATTTTCTACCCTTTAACTTTAAAAATTACTGCTCTAGATATTCTAGTCCTCTGCTACAACTACACTTCTTAGGGGATTTTCTAAATCCAGAAATGTACAGGATCCAACCAAAGGCCCTTGGAGATGACTCTGTGTACAAATAAAGAGGAAATGAACTCACATTTATTTAATACTTATTGGGTATCAGACATGAAAATAGGTACTTTTACACACATTTTCTTTTTTTCATTTCTATTTCAATATTTTTTGAACTACAAGTGTTTTTTTCTGTTGCATGGGTAAATTATATAGCAGTAAATTCTGAGATTTTTAGTGCACCCACCACCTCAGTAGTGCACGTTGTACCTAATGTGTAATATTTTTATGCCTAGCCTGTCTCACCCACCCTCTTCTGAGTCTCTAGATTCCATTATATCACTCTGTATACCTTTGCATAATCATAGCTTATCTGTCACTTATAAGTGAGAACATCTATTTTTTTTATTTTTCACTCCTGTGTTACTTTACTTAGAATAGTGGACTCCACCTCCATCCAAGTTACTGCAAAAATACATTATTGCGATCCTTTTTATGGCTGAGGAGTATTACATAGTGTATATACACCACATTTACTTTATCCACTCGTTAGTCAATTGGCACATAGATTCATTCCACATCTTTGCAATTGTGATTAGTAGGATTGCTGTATCAAATGGTAGATTTACTTGTAGCTCTTTAAGGAATCTCCATACTGTTTTCTATAGAAGTTGTACTAATTTACATTTCTACCAGCAGTGTAGAAGCTTTCTCTTTTATCCACATATCTACCAGCATCTATTTTTTTTTCACTTTTTAATAATAGCCATTCTTGCAGTAACGTGCTATTTTATTCTGGTTTTAATTTGCATTTCTCTGACGATTAGTGATGTGGAGCATTTTTTCGTGTTTGTTGGCCATTTGTATATCTTCTTTTGAGGAATCTCTATTTATGTCCTTTGCCCACTCTATAATGGGATTATTTCTCTTTCTATTGCTGACTTGTTTGAGTTCCTTGTAGATTCTAGTTTCTAGTCCTTTGTCAGATGCATAGTCTGCAAATATTTTCTCTCATTCTGTGGGTTGTCTGTTTACTCGGATTATTATTTTCAGACACATTTTTCTTTAATGCTCAAAACAAATTATGTGGCAGGAACCATTCTAATTTTACAAAAGAGGAAACTGAAGCCTGGTGATATGAAGTGAATTGTTTCAGGCCAGAGAACCGACAATTGAGACATGATATGATACCAGGTCTTCCAAAGAACATGATTATTTCCACCCATAAAATGCTGCCACAGCTGCAAAAATGATATCTAATTAGGCCGCCTTCCTAAATGATTGAAAGTCCAATACATATTCCTGCATGAAAGTTCAAATTCAAACTTTAAGTTGTTGTTTTGTTAATGGTCTAATTGCTTTAATTCATTTTAAGGATAAAAATAATTTTCACTTCCTCTAACAGAAGAAAATGTCTGTACTTGCAGAATGTGTCCAAATTTGTGTGTATCTCATGTCAACCAGGCTTATTTGGAGTTGATGTAGATTTATTCAGGAAACAGCAGAGTTTCCAATTCTAGCTGCTACTCTTTGGTTCTGGTTGTAAGCGGCTGAATGAAGAACACCGGGGTCATGGAGATCAGATTGGCTTGGATAATTCATGTGAAATTTAGTGGTTAAAAAATAAAAGAAAAAGGTAAGATGAGGCAAAGCAAGTTAAGTTCCCAGATGACATGTAAAAGTTATCCTCTAGAGAGTGGGAGGGGCCCCCATCAGCAACTTGTTTTCTCTGTTTAATTTTTTCTTCCCCTCCCAGGATGACAAGCCCACAGACAGGCTTCAGCATCAAATAAAATGGAGAAGTAAATTTGATAAACATGTTTACTTAGTGGTGCCAGTGACTTACTGATGAGTGGTGAAAAGACAGGGAAGATTGAGAGTGAAGATTTATGGAGTTGGTACCAGCTGCATAAATGGTGGCAGTGTCAATGGTGATGATATTAGTTAGGAGCAGGGTTCAGAGGGGGAATTCTCATGAAATCATACCAAATGAGAGCTAGAAGGGAGTTAAAGGTCATCTAGTTCAAATCATATTATTTTAATAATGAGGAAATGAAACTCACAGAAGGGAAAGAGCGTATCAGAGCAGCACAAAGAGTATATAAAATTACTGAAATCCAAGTATCTTAGCTACAAATCCAGTACACCTTTCTATATATTATACTGCTTTTGAGTCTTCTGTATCCTACAGCAAGTCTTGTCCTATTCAGATCACTCCTGTTGTAAAGAAATTGTTCCATTACTTCTATCTACAGATTTGTTATAATTTGAATTCATAAGCACAATTCCATAAAGAACGTTGGTTTTGATATAATCCTATCCTGACACCTGGTGGGCAGCAATTTGCCATATATGCATAGTGCATATGCATAAAACTGCTAGAACTAGAACCGAAAACAATAGCTTTTTTATCTCTGAGGAACAGTCTTATCCACAGAAATACCACTTTAAAATATGTTTCTGTCCATATAATAAGTTATTCAGCTAAAAATAACTTTAGCTTTCTGGGCTTATGAAAAGCCTTATTAAAGCTGAAATCATAACTCTGACTGCAGAAAGTCACTTACTCCTGCTGAGACTCCATTTTCTAATCTGTAAAGGAGTATAATAGTAATTAACTCAGAATTCTTACAAAGATTAGAGGTAACGTGAATAGCACTTAGCTAGTTACTGACAGGATGTGGAAATTTCCTCACTGGGACTTAGGAAACTAATATAAATTCTGATGCCATAATAATATAAGCTCAGTTTGGCTGTAACTTTGTGAAAACCACAACGTTGAGCTAGTTGGTTGGGAAGAGCAGCTGCTTTTGGGTAGATGGTATTAGTATCTAGTAAGATTTTGGGCTCAGCTCCAATGAATCATATTTAAAGACCTTCCATACCTTTGTATTCTGAGAAAACATTTAGTTGTTTCCACAAAATAAAGTTTTCAGTGATCAAATTCCTAATTAAGTTTAAGGGATTCCTGTTGGATTTCAAAACGAAAGCTGGATTGCCTTCTTTAAAGCTCTTAGGTGTTCAGATTTCTTAGACTAAAACCTTATTATTCTTGCTTTGACCACATTTTCTTCAGTAGCAGAAAGGAGAAAGATTATGGCTGTTGTTTAGGAGAGTGTTTCATGGGAGAGACTTTACAAGTAAAAATGCCTAATGCTCTGCTAATATGTGCCTATGCTCTGTAGTCTTACCTTCTCACAGTGCAGCCTATAAATTCAGTAGGTGTTCGAAGAAGAGGGGAGTGAGAGTAGGGTTGCCCGATGTAAGGAAAAAATGGGAGTTGAGATGCGATATTGAGACAGAAGTAAAATATTGACCTCTGAGTTGGGCTCCAGGTAAAAAAGGAATATGATGGAGTTTTAGTCATAACTTTGTGCGTGCCATTTTTATTATCAGGAACATCTTTAGAGCCATACTTTGATTTTTGTTTTTTTGCCCATATTTTCTTCAACTTTTATTTTAAGTTTAGGGGTACATGTGCAGGATGTGCAGGGTTGTGACATAGGTAAATGTGTGTCATGGTCGTTTGCTGCAAAGATCATCCCATCACCTAGTTATTAAGCCCAGCATCCATTAGCTATTCTTCCTGATGCTCTCTCTCACCCAACAGCTCCCAACAGACTCCAATGTTTCTTGTTTCTCACCATGTGTCCATGTGTTCCCATCATTCAGCTCCCACTTATAAGTGAGAACATGTGGTGTTTGGTTTTCCATTCCTGCATTAGATTGCTAAGGATAATGGCTTCCAACTCCATCCATGTCCCTGCAAAGGAAATGATCTCATTCTTTTTATGGCTGTATAGTATTTAGAGACACACTTTGTAAGTGAATCCTGTTATTTCAGAGATGGTGGCTGATTTTTCTGCTTTTCTTATTAGGTTAAAACTCTATGCTGGTCATTCCCTTCAGGATTTGGCACTCACCAACATACCCTTCTTTCAAGTGAAAAGGCATCTCTTTTAATGGTCCTGACCTTTGGAATAGGAAGCATGTACCCTGGACAGAGCACTTCAAACTAGAGGTACCAAGAGTAATTACTTCTGTAAGGCTGGCATTGGAGGCACTGGGAATTCTATTCTCACCTCTTTCTGGGTAATTCAAAGCCACAGAAGTACTGACTGAAGTGAGGTTGTGGGGACATGTATGCCACCTTGAAGTGCATTAAAGAATGGATATAAAGTGAGGAAAAGAAAAAAACTGGTGTAAACAACTATGGAGAGAAGGGCAGGAAGGCAACAAAGAGCTAGAATAAGGTGCGTAGACAAGAAAATTACTTTGGGAGTTGGAGAGACTTGATGAAAAAGCTCTAGCTGAGAGTGTAGAAAACCATGATTTTCTAGGAGTGAAAGGGAACAATCAATGAAAGAGAATCCTGAGGGAGGTTAGAAGAGTGTGATAATTCATCTTGAGCAGCAGGAAGGACAGCTGTGTTGGGAAGTAAGAAGAGTGCTGCTATAAATAAAATTATGCGTGTTAGAAAAGGACAATAGATGAAGTTGATTTCTTCTCACCTAATAATCTCAATTTACTCTTTGAGCTGAGGGCTAAAACAAATAGTCTTCCGAGAAAAGTGGTGGATGGGGAGCAGGAGAGAGAGGAAGAAGCTTTAGCAGAATAGAAAAGGGGCTGATTAGCCACCATGGGAATAGGAGAAGATACTAATCAGGTTCATGCAAAAAGAGGGTAGAGGAAAATAATTTTAGACTGGAGATCATTAATTTCCATTTGTGCCATTTCAAATACACACTAGTATTTCAACAGGATAATTGAGCCATTTGGATAGTAAGAAAGAAAACCTGTTGTGGACTTAACCTGCGATTAGGGCCTTGCCAGGCTGGTGTAGCAGGAGAATGGAGAACAAAGAAGTTGTGTATTCTTGTGTAAGAGTGGATAATTTGGCCAACTATTTAATCTGGGTTAGACACAGGAGGAAATAAGATGAGGGAGGATGCTATGTGAGACTAGGAGAAATGGAAGCATTTAGATATTGAAGGTTTCTGGAAATGTATGGTGCAAGTTAGTATAGTGCAATTTGTAGTGAAGCTCAGTCATTATGTTAGAGAAAGAAAACCATTTGAAGAGTTAGGAATTGATGAGGGTTGGCAGATAGTACAAAATTGAAAAATACTGGAATAAGAAATAGGTTAATGGATTCAGATTATCAGCAGAAGTGAATGCTGTTAGTTGCTGCATATGAAGTTGCTTTGGAAAAGTGCAAAACTGCGATACCTTTTTTATATCATTTCATGTTTTATAAATGAAATCATCTTTGACTCCTCAAGCAGTCTTCAAAATTGCTCAATTCCATATCTGACTTTTACTTTAAATTCTAATCTAATAGGGTGACCAACTATTCCCTTTGCTTTGGACTGTCACAGGTTTAGCACTGAAAATACTATGTCCCAAAAAACCCTCAGTCACAGGCAAACCTCAACTGTTGGTCTTCCTACATACTCCCAAAGTGATTTGGATTCCCTGTGTCCCATTTCTTCAATTCATCTTCCACATGGTTGCCAGCGTGACCTTTCTATTTTTTATGTATTCATTTTTAAAGTATTATTTATTTTTGAGATGGGGTCTTGCTCTATCACCCAGGCTGGAGTGTAGTGGTGCAATCTCAACTCACTGCAACATCTGTCTCCCCGGCTCAAGCGATCCTCCCACCTCAGCCTCCTGAGTGGCTGGGACCACATAGGCGTGCCACCGCACCCAGCTAATTTTTTTGTTTTATATTTTTTTGTAGAGATGAGGTTTCACCATGTTACCGAGGCTGGTCTTAAACTCTTGAGCTCAAGCGATCCACCCACCTGGGCATCCCAATGTGCTGGGTTTACAGGTGTGAGCCACCACACCTGGCCAGCAGCCTGATCTTTCTAAAACACAAGTATGATGATATCGCATCTCTTCACAGAATCCTTTGATGATTCATCATGAAGTGCATTAAAAATATTTCATTAAAAATCTTTCATGACCCGGTAACTTCTACCTTTATAGTCTCTTTTCCCTTTCACTACCTTCCTTCAATCATACCTCCCATTTCACCCTCCCCACCATGTTATCCTATTCACCAGGTGGGATAGAATTATTATTTTTCCTTTAGATATATCATTCATTTTTATACTTTGGAAACCTTGGATGTTATTTATCCATCCCTGGAAACCTTTCCGATCTTTTCTTCTCCAAAATCCTGCCCATTCCCAAAACTGCTTATTAAAAAATTGACTTCCAATCTTTCCATTCTATGCAGGCTTTATTTCTGCTTCCACAGAAATGTCTTTGTTACCTCTTTCATGAAATGTTTCTGAAATCCGTTATGGTTAGTTACTTATGGCTATCACATGTGACTGTAAACTTATTGAAGGCAACAACCATGGATTATTTTTCTCTGGAATTTCCCATTCCACTCCATCATCCTTTGCAATTAGCATATAGGACACCCACATAGCAGAATGTCTACTTGGATGAAATCACAAACTGTTAAGATTCAGATGAATTATACTAATAATAACCAGTAAAAACGGTCATGCTTATGGAGAATTTTTGAAGAGATCAACTTGACCTCACCTTTGAAAGGTCACTAGGATTTAAAGAGAACAATCGATAATTCAGACAAAGTGAGGTTAACTTTAAGTTTATCTCTTCCCCAGCCACCCTCTTTATTTTTCTCTCCATCAGCGGCAGAAAACGGGGACGGGGTGGAGAGAAAAATAAAGATGGTGATGAGGTAAGAGATAAAGTTAAAGTTTACCTCACATTTCCTAAAGTATCCATTGTTCTATTTAAATCCTATATGTTATCTTTAGCAGCTAAAATAGTACTGGTATCTCTCCTAATTAATTCACAGGAATGATGCTGTGCCAACACTGAGGGATTCTCATCACCTGTGCCATTCACTTCAATTGTTGCTATTCACTGATTGTGATGTTAGAGATTTTTAAATGTTACCCCTATGGGGACCATAGGCTCTTGGCCCTCTCAAGGTTGCTACAAAATCACTGGCATGAGGCAGATTGATTAACATGAGATAAGGAATTACAATTTATTTAAAGTATATACACATGAGCCTTCAGAATGAAGACTCAATTTCCCAATAGGTAAGAAAAGCTTATATACCATCTTGAAATTACAGAATAAATGTGAACTCAGAGTATGTTCAAAAACAGTTTTTGGTGGCAAGACAAGTTATTGGAGAAAGGAAGTAAGAGGCTTGGTAACAGAGTTGGCCTTGTTATAGATGAAACCTATGTCAGAGAGAACAGATGGTAAATGTTTCTTTTCCAACTTTTAAAGATGTCAGGCTCAATCTCTCCTGGATCTGAGAAAAGCATAGAATGGGGAGGCATGGCTACATTCATGGAGATTCTTTGCAAATGCAAATTTTCCCCACCTCAGTCTGTGAGCCCTGAGGCAATGATCTCAAAATATTTTAAAGAAATATATTTTAGGGTAAAATATTTTTATTTCCTTCACCTTTAAAAGATAGGAAGTTTCTCAGGGACACAGATCGTTGTGGATGATTCTATATTCTCCATAGAACCTAGCAAATAGCTCATAGGATGGGGCTTATTGAATATATACTGATTGAGTGTGGGCTTTAAAGCAGCCAAAGTCCTCAAAAAGCCATGGAAAAGGAAATAGAGTTATTTCCCTTTATGTTTTCTTTTCAAATGCAGAGAGCTTTAGTGATTACAGACGCAGCCTCCTCACTCCCATGTGTAGGTGGATAACAAGTCATTTTCTGATTTCCTTCACAGAATGACAACCAAGAAAAATAAAAGGTTGAGATAACTTTGAAAGCAAATCATGAAGCTGTCCTTTTCTTGAGGTCCAGATAATAGTATTGATGGTACCCTGAGACCTTGGACTGTGCTAGTTTCTACCCATAGGATATGTCTGACCACCTGTGATTTCTAAATTGATTTCTTTTCTCTTTTCTCAGGTCTCTACAGGTATTGCTTTTCTGAGGTGAAAAGGATAGGTGCAGGGAATATTGATAGGAGAAGCCCAAGTCAGAAGACAACATTTTAGGGAAATAGTCGGCATCAGAAATGTACTAGTTGATATATCAAGGTTTTTAATTTATGCTTAATACTTCTAAACAGAAACTTTGAACTATTGTTTAAGCAGTTCAGTTCAATTATACTTTTTATATGTTCTTTGAATGCTTACTAGGCTAGGTCCTGGCTATATGGTGATGAAAAAAGGAGATCTTTTTGTGGCACTGATGGACTTAAGAGCACAGTGAGGGTAATAACCAACAAACAAATTAAAAAAAAAAACCCTAAATTACAAATGTTGATGCTAAAAAGAGAAAGAACAGAGAGTGTGAGAGTGTGTAATGATGTATAGGATTACCTAGATCGAGTGAGTGGTTAAGGTCTCTTAGACCCACAGATTGAGATTAAAAGGAACCAGAGATGTGAATTTTGTGACCTCAGCACCACTTATTTAACCTCTTTGAGCCTCAATTTTCTCATCTGCAATGTGGAAATAATCACAGGACTCCTGTGAGGATGGATGACATAATGAATAAAGTGTTTAGCCTGTAAATAAAAGGCAGCCCTAAATAAGTGGTAGCCATACTTAATGTTAATGTTAGACATGGTATGGAGAATGAACTTTAGGGGAAGGACTGGAATGTAAACAGTTTAGTAAGGGAGCTGTTGCAATAGCCAATAGGGTTGATGACAGCAGCCTGGATTAGGATGGTGACAGTAGAGGTGGAGATAGGTTAGAGAGGATTTTACATGGAAGGAAGAATTACCTGGGTTTTCTGGGTTTTTATTGTCTATGGGAGGAAATATAGTGGCAAAGGTCAGAATTACTCCCTAATTTCTAGCTTGAGTGTCTGGGAGGGGAGTCAGGTCACTGACTGAAAAGGGAAGCACAGATTCAGGAATGAATCACCAATCCCACATCCCTATGAGACAGGAACCAAGAATATGTCCAGATTGGAGGGGAGAGAAATTGGCAACACAAAGGGAGCAAACTGCCCACAAGTAGGCAACAATAGAGCCAGACTCATAGATAGAGGAAGAGAAAGACACACACACACACACACACACACACACACAGAGAGAGAGAGAGAGAGAGAGAGAGAGAGAGGGATGGGGTGAGGGAACAGAGAGAAGGAATATACTCTGATTTTAGTCCTTCCATCCAGGATTTTCTTGTTAGTGGCTTCTTAGCTTCTCCTTTCTTATATTTCAGAAATGACACAATTGTCCATAGCAAGCTAAGTGTTCCCTCTAAGAGAGTCTATGTTTCTGCTCAACCCCAAATAAATACCTTCTGCCTCTCCTCATCACGGGGATTTTACATCTAATGGTCACTAAGAAGATTTGGGGGAAAAAAAGCCCTTCTTACCTTCCCTTCAGTCTGAAGCAAAAAAGAGGTTTTTGGAAACAAGCCATGCAAATCTCTACGCTCACAATGAACTGTGAATTGCAGAAGCATAAGAACCCACATTTAAAAAATAAAAAAGGTGTAAACTTGACCTCTAGCTTGCTGTTCTGGCATAATTGGGCTCTGTTATTTAACAGGGAGGTGTGAACAGAACATGCCCATTTTGTAAGTGAAACTTTCTGCACCAGTGAAGCTAAAACAAATAGCCATTTCTTTTAAGTGCAAAAGTGGAAGTGTGACTGCAGGAGAGTAAGGTTATGAACAATTCTTAGTTATTGAAATTGTAATGCACTGATGGATCTTTCTTTGCTCTCTCACTGCCTGTGTGTGGACAATAGTTGATAGTAGAAGCAGTGCCAACACTAAAATCAAAGTAGGTGGTAGGGTGGGAACAGTGTGGCATAAGTAGGGACAGGTGTTTACTTCTATTCTGATTGTCCAACTAGACGAATTCTAGTGTTATATAAGTTCCTACTATGGGATTAGAATGGTTCTGCCACAATGTGCTCTTCACATGTCACAGTGAAATCGAAATAATGTCTTTTGTAGCAACGTGGATGGAGCTGGAGGCCATTATTCTAAGTGAAGTAACACAGGAGTAGAAAACCAAAAACCAGGTATTCTCACTTATAAGTGGGAGCTAAGCTATGAGCATGCAAAGGCATGTGGAGTGATAGTTAAGACAGCCAAATTCTACTAAGTAGTCTCTCCTAGTCAGGGAGAGGAAAGTGGCATAGTGGAAATACCACACGCTTCAGAGCAAGCCAGGAATGATAGTAAATCCTATCTTTACCATTTTCTAGCTTTGCTACTTAAGGCAATTTACTGAATGCCTCTGAAGCTCAGTTTTTTCATCTAGATCATAGGGTGATAATAGTTCTTACATCTTAGGACAGTTGTGAAAATTAAATTAAATAAATACACCTGAAAACTTCCATTACAGATTTTGGGATACATCCTTGATCGTCACCACATGATAATTATTTCCTGCCTTTCCATTTGTGAGAGTCCCTTCCACCCTCCATTCTAAGTAACACATACATAAGCAAGATGACTGCATGACTGTTTAAGATGTATCACAAATAAGAGGGCAAATAGGGAGATGGAATAGAATGGGGGAAAGCAAAAGTTTTATTTACAGTAACAGCAGCTCATAACAGCCACACTCTTTTATCTGTGAATTCATCACTTGAGGCTCTGTTTTTGTTAGCACAGCTCTATTTCCTGGAGCAGGACTTAATATGACAGGAAGCCATTCTGCTACTCATGAGGAGAATCTAAAACCAGGTTACTTCTTTGCTTTTTGTAAACTTACTTTAAACAAAACAAAAAAAAAAACAATAAACAACAGAAACCCTTCCCCATCTGAGAAACAACCTCAGTACATTGTTTTTTTTCCACTTCTAGCTCGAAATACAGTAAACATTCCTGCAATATGCACAGAAGGTATGCTTGTGAACTTTGTCATGGGGAGAAAAACAAAGATGAGGAGAAGGGTGTGCATGGAAGCAAGGTCCCTTGTCCTCCCATTTCGAGTCTCAGATCTTCCATTAATAGCTGTGTGGCCATAATAAACTCCTCTCTCTGGGCCTTGCTTCTATCTATATTATGTGGAGAGTGAATTTGATGATTTCCAAAGGTCCTTCCCAGTCTGAAATTCTACAAGATAGTTAAAGCAAAATGAGGAATCTGTTGCTCTCCTACCATTCTTATCTGCAGGCAATCAGCATAATTCCATGCCTAGCCTCTGATAATCTCTAAAGATTACTCTACTCTCTCTATACCTTAATATAACACATAATAAAAACCATACTAAATCATAAAATATGATTAAGGAAGTCCAAAAAAGAAGGAATCTCTTCATAATGATTACTTTAATGAATAAAGAAAGCATTACATTTTAAACTGTCTTCAAAAATGGTTTCAGTGGCCCTGTTTTGCTAGTGCCCAAAGCATTGCTAGTGCCCACAAGCATTGCTAGTGCCCAAAGTATTGTGACTGTTGGATAATATGCCATGTGAATGTTGCCACACCAATACAGGATTCTACTTAGAGGTAGAATTGGTCTTTTCCCCTCCAAGATTATATGAAGGAAAATACTCTATTTTAGCTTCTAAATTCATGTATTATTAAAGCTTTTTATGTAAATTTGGATACCCAAGCCTAGGGAGAGAGACAAACTGCAGGATAACCTAGAGTCACAAGTTATTATGATAGAATAATGAGGCCACATTCTCAGGTCTTGAAGATCAGCCGGGACACTGACAATGCAGGCTTAAGGAGGCAGGACAATTTTTCAAGTGATGGGGTTCCAAGATAAGAAGCCAGGACCCAAAGAGCAAAATGGCAGACAAAGGACAGGGATGGGAACCTAAAAAGTGAGGCTAAATTTCTACTACTGCAATTAGGAGTGAGCAGTATTTATTCTAACCAGGGCTTTGGACAAGACAAATTTGGAGTCAAAATAAATATAATCGAATTCTATGCTGTTTTTGCTGTGGTCAGAATAAAAGATTTAACATTTCAAGACATCTTAGCCTGCAAAATACAACTTAGAGAATCTGGGGTGGAGGGTGCAGTTGTGGGACAATTTTATGGTTCCTTAACTGTTACATTGGGTGACTTTGGATCAGTACTATATTTTCCTTGAGCCTCTAATTCTTTATATGTAAACATGTCTCTTCTAATTCTAATAGTCTGTGCCTCTGTAAGTATAAAAGAGAGATCTAGGTGTTAACTAAAGAACTAATTAACCATTTTACTCTTTATTTTGTTTTACTTTGGGCAGGAACCATAAATCCATGGCTAACCTTGACAAATACACTGAAACATTCAAGATGGGTAGCAACAGTACCAGCACTGCTGAGATTTACTGTAATGTCACTAATGTGAAATTTCAATACTCCCTCTATGCAACCACCTATATCCTCATATTCATTCCTGGTCTTCTGGCTAACAGTGCAGCCTTGTGGGTTCTGTGCCGCTTCATCAGCAAGAAAAATAAAGCCATCATTTTCATGATCAACCTCTCTGTGGCTGACCTTGCTCATGTATTATCTTTACCCCTCCGGATTTACTATTACATCAGCCACCACTGGCCTTTCCAGAGAGCCCTTTGCCTGCTCTGCTTCTACCTGAAGTATCTCAACATGTATGCCAGCATTTGTTTCCTGACGTGCATCAGTCTTCAAAGGTGCTTTTTTCTCCTCAAGCCCTTCAGGGCCAGAGACTGGAAGCGTAGGTACGATGTGGGCATCAGTGCTGCCATCTGGATCGTTGTGGGGACTGCCTGTTTGCCATTTCCCATCCTGAGAAGCACAGACTTAAACAACAACAAGTCCTGCTTTGCTGATCTTGGATACAAGCAAATGAATGCAGTTGCGTTGGTCGGGATGATTACAGTTGCTGAGCTTGCAGGATTTGTGATCCCAGTGATCATCATCGCATGGTGTACCTGGAAAACTACTATATCCTTGAGACAGCCACCAATGGCTTTCCAAGGGATCAGTGAGAGGCAGAAAGCACTGCGGATGGTGTTCATGTGTGCTGCAGTCTTCTTCATCTGCTTCACTCCCTATCATATTAACTTTATTTTTTACACCATGGTAAAGGAAACCATCATTAGCAGTTGTCCCGTTGTCCGAATCGCACTGTATTTCCACCCTTTTTGCCTGTGCCTTGCAAGTCTCTGCTGCCTTTTGGATCCAATTCTTTATTACTTTATGGCTTCAGAGTTTCGTGACCAACTATCCCGCCATGGCAGTTCTGTGACCCGCTCCCGCCTCATGAGCAAGGAGAGTGGTTCATCAATGATTGGCTAAAATTAAGATATCTCTTTAATTACGCCTTTGTTTACCTACGTTCCTTGTCTTTTTCCAAAGGCCAGAATTGTCAACCAATTTCTTTAATTGAACATTGTAAAAAACAGGAATAAGTACTTTTGTGTAATATTCACAGTCAACAGGGGTGTGATGGTGAAGGCAGAGTGTGAAAAACGTGAGAGAGGAAGAGAAAATAGATTTACCTGATTCCTCTTTAAAATTCAAGCCACTTTCTTATTTAAGAAACCTAGATCAAGTTTTTACAGATGTAAATAAAAGTTGAATAGTTTACCTTAAATTTTTTTCAATAAGTAAGTTATTGTTAATAATGCACAGTAAATATGTGAATTTTTCCTAGATGTAAAAAAAAAAATCTTTCATATAAAGACCTTAAATTCTGAGTGAGAGTAAAAATGTCTAATCTTTCTAACAGGTAAATTTTTCTAACAGGCAAGACAGTGTGAAGAATTGAAGCAATATGTGCATAAATTTCAGGACCACAAGCCTGTTATTAAAGAAAAGGCATGGAAATTCATTCATTCCTTGAAAATGTGTTGAGTGCCTATTGTGTTCTTGGTTGTCACTTTGTTAGGTACTTTCTTTTTTTTTCATAAGTTATTGGGGTACAGGTGGTATTTGGTTACATGAGTAAGTTCTTTAGTGGTGATTTGTGAGATTTTGGTGCAGCCATCACCCGAGCAGTATACACTGCACCACATTTGTAGTCTTCTATCCCTCGCCCCCTTCCCACTCTTCCACACATAACATCTCATCTTGCCCTCCTAATAAACCTGTGGAAGTTGCCGATACAAATGAATAAATGGAACTTCAGAGAGGTTAAGCAATTTGCCTCAGGATCAACAGTGGTTAGCCAAAATTGGTCCAGTATAATACACCATATATGCTTATGTTATTCCCTTGCTTTTGTTGTTACATTTATTAGGTCTATACTAAATTAGCCTTCAATGATGAAGACAGACTAAAGCTAAGCCACATGAGATCAAGGCCATTTCAACATGGTTTGCCTGGAATTCTCCAAAAAACCTGTGGGTTGTGGGTTTGGCATGTCAAGCTTCAGACCACAAGGTCTTAAGTGGTAAATAGATGCGTTGTCCTAATACTGTTCCAAGGTAGAGAATCCTGATGATAAGGAGTATAGGAAACTCAAATAGTTCATTATTTCTAAAAAATGTATATTTTAAGGCATGATACAAGTCCTACAAACCTCATAAGTAGGTGAAAAAAAAAACCCTGTGGAGTGATAAACATTCTATAAAACCTGGAAATTTGTGTGGAGTTCGCCTAAGCTCACTTTTCCTAAATATAGCTATATAATATTGTAAACAAATTTGTTTTTTAGAAACTTTTAAGAAGATTTCTGTGAGCGTAATTGACAATATCTGCATTAGAAACAGAAAGTATTATCCATCATAAATATGAGAAAAGTGTGTGTCCTCTTTCTGACAATCTTTTTATCTTATTTTTTTCAAACGTTGTGGTTGTTGTTTCAGCACCATTTTAAAGAATTTGAATACAAACAATCCCTCAGCTTATCAGGTTGACATTTATGAAGCTGACCTCATCACTCTTTATCTTTTATGTCTGCAGTATAAATAGCATAGACATTTGGTGTGAAGGGAGGAGAAAGGAAGTAGTAGTTCTGAGAATATTCATTTGAACAGAGTGACTATGGAAGAATGAATAGCAAAAAAAGGAGAATTTTTTTAAAAAGATCTCTCACTGGGAAAAGAAAAAGTTATGCATTTATAAAGTAATTAAACTGGTTTTCCTTGTACTTTATTAATCTGAATCTAATGGCACTTCCTTACGAGGGTTTTCAGATGTGCTTGTAGTTAATGGCAACATTATCAGAATGACTACACAGACAGTCCTACTCTGAGGAGATGACTTTGGAAGAAACCCATTTGGAACTACACACCCTGCTATGTCTGTGGAGAAATGGAACTGCAATCCTCAAGAGTCACACTTCATATTCCTTCCTTTCAAGTGGTTGATAAAAGGTAGTGCTTCAAGCACAGGATTTATGGAATAGTTGGCAAATTAAACAACATGCTTTTTATTTTGACTACCATTTAAGTGGAATCTTTGAACTTTTTTTTTGACATGTGAATCTCTAATGTGGTGAGAGAGAAAAACATAAAAATATAAAAACATTCAAGCAATCGACTATTGGTTCTTTCATTTTAAAGGGGATATCTTACATAATGTCAAAGGAAAATGTGACAGTGCTTCAGCTGATGGCAGAGCAGTGCAAGAAATCGTGAAATTGCTTTAAGGTATTACAATAAACAACAATTTTAACAGTTATTCCTATGCTTGTCACAGGCACACAATTTGAGACAAACAAGACATCAAAACATACATCCTTGAATTAGTTTTTCAAAAAGTCAACACTAAAGCTAAACATTCCCCCCGAATCTCTGCAAGGCACTTACCAAAATCCACATAGAACCCATTCAGTATCTCATAACACTGATGAAAGACTGTTTAAACTTCTGAGAGTTTTGGCAAAAATGGGAAGGAATTTAGCAAAAATGGGAGAAATATAACCTTTGCAACAATTTATATGACCTTAAATGCCATTTATGCATGACTGGATATGCTGTTTCTCCTTACATTTTAAAATAACTTAAAGAGTGTTATCGGTTAGCTGGACGTGGTGGTGCGCACCTGTAATCCCAGCTACTTGGGAGGTCGAGGCAGGAGAATCACTTGAACTCGGGAGATGGAGGTTGCAGTGAGCTGAGATTGTGTCACTGACTGCACTTCAGCCTGGGTGACAGAGCAGAAAAAAAAAAAGGAGTGTTATTGGATTGTTTGTAACTCAAAGGATAAATGCTTGAGGGTATGGATTCCCTATTCTCAATGCTGTGCTTATTTCACATTGCATGTCTGTATCAAAACACCTCATAAACCCCATAAATATATACACCTACTATGTACCCACAAAAATAAAAATACAAAAGCTTTAAATACTACCACAGAGTATAGGTATAACATTTGCCACTGATCAAATGAATTACCCTTATAAAATATGTGTTCTGAAGACTGTACAAGTAGTACCAGCTTCTGCTTCCTGCGAGGCCCTCAGGAAGCTTATAACTATAATGGAAGGCGAATGGAGAGCAGGCATGTCACATGGTGAGAGAGGGAGCAAGAGAGAGTGAAGAAAAAGTGCCACACTCTTTTAAACAAACATCTTGCATGAAATGAGTGAGAACTCACTCATTACCTTGAAGACAGAACCAAGTCATTCATGAGGGATCTGCTCCCATGAACAAAACACCTACCCGTAGGCCCACCTACACCATTAGGGGTCACATTTCAGCCTGAGTTTTAAGGAGGATAAAACATTTAAACCATATCAGCAATAAATATAGAGGAAGAGTAAGCCTTCTTATTGGAAACCCTTCTGTGTTAAGGGTGGAAAGAGAAAAAAAGCTAAGGAGTGCCTAGTACTGAATATGATAGCTTGGCTAGAAATACAGAAAGGAGCAGTAATTAACAAGGCTGTAAAAGTTAGAAATTAAGAATATAGAGGACCTTGAATGTCAGGTATATAATTTGTACTTTTCTGTGGTGAAGTGAGCCAAGATGGATCATAAAGTTTGTGGAGATAAAAAAAGCTTATACAGATCTTGAGAAACAATATGACATAATAACAGGGGCAAAAGCCTGTTGGCAAGTAAACACTATTGTTTACTCATTCATTCTGAGATTTGGACTATCTAGATTAATTTCACAGACAGACACATGAATAATAAGAAACATACAACAGGAATAGCTATGATTTATTCAATCCAACCATGTGAGGAGAACTTTATATGGGTCTTCATATTTCATTTCTTTCTTTCTTTCTTCTTCTTCTTCTTTCTTCTTTCTTTCTTTCTTTCTTTCCTTCTTTCTTTCTGCCTTTCTTTCTTTCTCCCTTCCTTCCTTCCCTTCCTCCCTCCCTCTCTCTTTTCTTTCTTTCTTTCTTTCTTTCTTTCTTTCTTTCTTTCTTTCTTTCTTTCTTTCTGTCTTTCTGTCTTTCTTTCTTTCTCCCTTCCTTCCTTCCCTTCCTCCCTCCCTTCCTCTCTCTCTCTTTCTTTTTTCTTTTCTCCTTCCTTCCTTCTTTCCTTCTTTCCTTCTTTCCTTCCTTTCTTTCCTTCCTTCCTTCCTTCTTTCCTTCTTTCCTTCCTTTCTTTCCTTTCTTTCTTTCTTTCTTTCTTTCTTTCTTTCTTTCTTTCTTTCTTTCTTTCTCTTTCTTTTTTCTTTCTTTTCTTTCTTTTCCTTTCTTTCTTTCTTTCTTTCTTTCTTTCTTTCTTTCTTTCTTTCTTTCTTTCTTTCTTTCTTTCTTTTCTTTCTTTCTTGTCAGAGTCTTGCTCTGTCACCCATGCTGGAGGCTGGAGTGCAGTAGCACGATCTCGTCTCACTACAACTTCTGCCACCCAGGCTCAAGCAATTCTCCTGCCTCAGACTCCCAAGCAGCTGGAAATACAGGCAAGTGCCACCACACCTGGCTACATTTTGAAATTTTCAGTAGAGACCGGGTTTCACTATGTTGACCAGGCTGGTCTCGAACTCCTGAACTCAGGTGATCTGCCCACCTCGGCCTCCCAAAGTACTGGAATTACAGGCAAGGGCCACCACACCCGGCCAGATCATCATACTGATTTTTTAAAAACAACCCCATGAGGTGGATACAATAATTAACCCCACTTTCCAGATGAAAAACAAGTACAGATAGTTTAAGTAACTTGTTCGAGAATATACAGCTAATAAATGACAAGGTCAGGATTTTTTTTTTTTTTCGCAGTCTCACTCTGTTGCCCAGGCTGAAGTGCAGTGGCATGATTTGGCTCACTGCAACCTCCGCCTCCCGGGGTCAAGCTATTCTTGTGCCTCAGCCTCCCAAGCAGCTGGGATTATAGGCGCCTGCCACAACTCCTGACTAATTTTTGTATTTTTAATAAAGACAGGGTTTCACCATGTTGGCCAAGCTGGTCTCGAACTCCTGACCTCAGGTGATCCACCTGCCTTGGCCTCCCAAAGTGCTGGAATTACAGGTGTGAGCCCCCGTGCCTGGCCAAGGTCAGGATTTTTAACTCTAAAAATTGGAATTCAGAACTCATATGTTTAACATTGTATTACTGGCCTATGTATTACTATAATACAATGAATTTCATGGGAAATGTTCATACTTTTAAGATGCTCTTCCCTTGTATCGAAAATAACTATACAATTAAAATGTTGTGATACTTGTATTTTTTTATATTTTCCAACATTCTGAATCTTTTAAAAATATACACAACTATAACTTGTCAATTTACAATAATTTTTTAAAATAAACTAAAAATTCTGAACTCTCATTTTATTACACTCCTCTTTATAAATGCTTATTTTAATCTCTTGCATCACTGCAAAGTTGAGGATAAATGTGAATAAATATATTATAGTATGGATGCCCTCAGCCATAAGTACACACATTTGTATTTATAAAAACTAGAAAAATACATTGAAATGTTAAAATTTGTAACTTTTGAGAGACCTGATTATAGATAATTATTATTTTCTACTTTAAAATTTTCTGTTTTTTTCAAAACGTAAGCATACTATTTTTAATCAGAAAATGGTAAATATTATAAAGCGTGAGTAGTCAATAAGGTAAATAGAGAAAAACTACAATTGCTTCAGAACAAATAAAGGTTTTTGGATACATTTAAAAATCCAACAAGGCAGAAGAGATTGTTCGTGCACATTAAATTACACAAAATGGGAGTGTATGTTTTGCAACATCCATGAAATGTTTATAAAAGTTGATTATATACTAGGTAATAAAGGCTCAGATGCAAAAAGCAGGAATTACGCATATGACATTACATAATCAAAATTAGAATTAGGCCAAAAATGTAAATATTAGAAAATAAAAAAGGACACAGAATAACCAACATGAGATAAAACTTGTAAAATGCTATGACAGATCTAATGCCAATGAATTTGAAAATCTAATTGAAATGGATGGTTTTCTGTTTCAAAGAATTATAAAAATAAAGCAAGAATAGAAAACTTGAATAATTGACTACATAAGAATTTTTCTTTTGAGTTACAGTCTAGTCTAGAATTTATTTTTTTAATTTTATTTTCATTTTAAATTTTAGATTCAGGGGATTCAGGAAGTACATGTGCTGGTTTGTTACATTGGTATATTGCATGATGCTTAAGTTTGGGCTTCTGTTCATCTTATCACCCAAACAGTGAACATGGTATTCGGGAGTTAATTTTTCAACCATTGCCCTACTTTATCTCTCTCTCTTCCCTTTTCAATTCTCCAGTGTCAACTGACCTAATCTTTATGTCCGTGTGAATCAATGATTAGCTCCCATTTATAAGTGAGAATATGCAGTATTTGGTTTTCTGTTTCTGATTAAATTCACTTAAATTAATGGCCTCCAGCTGCATCCATGTTGCTGAGGATGATATGCTTTTGTTCTTTTTTGTGGCTGTGTAGTATTCCATATACAGTTTCTTTATCCAATCCACTATTGATGAGCACTTAGCTTAATTATATGTCTTTGCTATTGTTAATAGTGCTGCAATAAACATGTGAGTGCAGGTGTCTTTTCATTAGAATAATTTATTTTCCTGTAGGTATATACCCGGTAGTGGGATTACTGGGTGGAATGGTAATTCTATGTTTAGCAATTTGAGAAATCTAGATATTGTTTTCTATAGTGGTTGTAATAATTTACATTTCCACCCACAGTATATGTGTTCCCTATCCACAACATCCATGCTAGCATATACTGTTTTTGAACTTTTAATTATAGCCATTCTGACTGGTGTGAGATGAAACCTTATTGTAATTTTGACTTACAATTCTCTGATGATTAGCGCTATTGAGCATTTTTTCATATGTGTATTGGTTGCTCTTATGCCTTCTTTTGAGAAGTGTCTGTTTAAATCTTCTGCCTACTTTTTAATGGGGTTATTTATAGTTTTCTTATTGATTTGTTTAAGTTCCTTGTAGATCCTGGATATTAGTCTATCAGGGGAACCACCCCCAATATTTCAACATAGGTTCTTTCTATTTTCCCTAAATGTCAGCCGATCTGAGAAATAAAGAGAAAGAGTACAAAGAGAGGAATTTTACAGCTGGGCCACCAGGGGTGACATCACATATCTGTAGGTCTGTGATGTCCACCTGAGCTGCAAAACCAGCAGGTTTTTATTAAGGACTTCAAAAGGGGAGAGGGTGTATGAACAGGGTGTAGGTCACAAAGATCACATGCTTCAAAGGGCAAAAAGGAGAACAAAGATCACATGCTTCTGAGGCCAATAAAGATCACAAGGCAAAGGGCAAAGCAAAGATCACAAGGCAAAGGGCAAAATAAAAAACTCCTGATAAGGGTCTATGTTCAGCTGTGCACATATGGTCTTAATAAACATCTTAAACAACAGAAAACAGGGTTCAAGAGCAGAGAACCGGTCTGACTTCAAATTTACCAGGGCGGGGTTTCCCAATCCTAGTAAGCCTGAGGGTACTGCAGGAGACCAGGGCGTATTTCAGTCCTTATCTCAACTGCATAAGACAGACACTCCCAGAACGGCCTTTTATAGACCCCCCTCCCCCAAGGAATGCAATTCTTTTCCTAGGGTCTTAATATTCCTTGCTAGGAAAAGAATTTAGCGATGTCTCTCCTACTTGCACGTCTGTTTATAGGCTCTCTGCAAGAAGAAAAATATGGCTCTTTTTGCCTGACCCCGCAGGCAGTCAGACCTTATGGGTGTCTTTCCTTGTTCCCTAAAAATCACTGTTATTTTGTTCTTTTTCAAGGTGCACTGATTTCATATTGTTCAAACACACATGTTTTACAATCAATTTTTACAGTTAACACAATCATCACAGTGATCCTGAGGTGACGTACATCCTCAGCTTATGAAGATAGCAGGATTAAGAGATTAAAGTAAGACAGGTGCAAGGAATTATAAAAGTATTATTAGGGAAGTGATAAATATCCATGAAATCTTCACAATTTATGTTCCTCTGCCGCAGCTCCAGCCAGTCCTTCCGTTTGGGGTCCCTGACTGCCCACAACATTAGTCCTTTGTTGAATGCATACTTTGCAAATATCTTCTCCCACTCTGTAGATTATATGTTTACTCTGCTTATAGTTTTTGTTTGTTTGTTTTGCTGTGTAGAGCTTTTTAGTTTGATTAGGTCTCAACCGTCAATTTTTTGTTTTTCCTACATTTGCTTTTTGAGGATTAGTCATAAATTCTTTGCCTGGGACAATGTTCAAAAGAGTATTTGCTACTTTTTCTTCTAGCATTTTTATAGCTTGAGGCCTTAAATTCAATTCTTTAATCTATCTTGAGTTATTCTTTATATATGGTAAGAGGTAGAGGTCCAGTTTCATTCTTCTGTGCTATTTATTAAATAGGATGTCCTTTCCCCAGTGTTTATTTTTGTCAACTTTGTCAAAGATCAGTTGGTGTGGCTGTGTGTATTAACTTCTGGATTCTCTATTCTGTTCCATTGGTGTACATGTCATTTTTATACCAGCACCATGCTGTTTTGATTTCTGTCACCTCTTACAGTAGTTTAAAATTGGGTAATGTGATGCCTCTGGTTTTGTTCCTTTTGCCTAGGACTCTTTGACTATGTGAGTTCTTTATTGATTCCATATTAATTTTAGAACTTTTTTCTAACTATGTAAAAGTGATGCCTATAATTTTCTAGGAATGCTATTGAATGTATTAATTCCTTTAGGATATTTTAATGATATCAATTCTTCCAATTAATGAGCATTATTGGCTATTGCAAACGAGATTGCATTCTTGGTTTGCTTCTCAGCTTCAAAGGTATTGGTGAATAGAAATGCTAATGATATTTCTACATTGATTTTTCAACCTCAAAACTTTACTGAATTCGTTTATCAGGTCTAAGAGACTTTTGGCAAAATTACTAGGATTTTCTAGGCATAGAATCATATCATTAGTGAAAAGAAGTAATTTGACTTCCTCTTTTCCAATTTGGATGTCTTTTATTTTTTCCTCTTGGCTGATTTTTTTCAGTAGGAATTCCAGTATTATATTCAATAGGAGTGATGAGAGTGGACAGCCTTGTCTTATTTCATTTCCTTGGTAGAATGCTTCCAACTTTGCCCATTCAGTATGATGTTGGTTGTGGGTTTGTCATAGATGGCTCTTATTCTTTTGAGGTATCTTCATTCGACATTTAGTTTTTTTAGTGTTTTTAACATAAAGGATGATGGATTTTATTAAATATTTTTCTGAATCTATTGAGGAGATCTTATGGCTTTTGTTTTTAATTCTGTTTATGTGATGATTCACAGTTATTGACCTGCCTATGTGAAACCATCCTTGCATCCAGGAATAAAGCCTACTTGTTCATGGTAAATTACTCTATTAGAACATTCTTGTATTGCTGTTAATATAAAGGAATACCCAAGACCAGGTAATTTATAAAGAAAAGAGGTTTAATTGGCTCCACAGATCCGCAGGCCATTGAAGAATCATGATGCTGGTATCTGCTTAACTTCTGGGAAAGCCTCAGAAAACTTATAATCATGGAAGAAGGCAAATAGGTAGCAGGCATGTCACATGGCCAGAGCAGGGACAAGAGAGAGGGAGGGGGCAGGTGCTGCACACTTTTAAATGACTGCGTCTCACTACAACACACTCACTATTGTGAGAACAACACCAAAGGCAATAGTGTCAAACCATGAGAAATCATCCTCATGATCCAGTCACCTCCCATCAGGCCTCACTTCCAACACTGAGGACTGCAATTCAAAATAAAATTGAGTGGAGACACAAATCCAAACCATATAATTCCATCACTGCCCCTCTAAATCTCAAGTTCTTCTCATGTTGTAAAATATAATCATGTATTTTCAATAGTCTCCCAAAGTCTTAAGTCATTCTAGCATTAACTCAAAAGCCCAAAACCCAATGTCTCATCTGAGATGAGAGTAGTCTCTTCCACCTATGAACCTGTAATACCAAAACAAGTCAGTTACTTCCAAGGCAAGATTAGGTACAGGCATTGAGTAAATACTCCCATTCCAAAAGGGAAAAAGTCAAAAGAAAGGGGCTAAAGGCCCAATGCAAGTCCTAAATCCAGAAGAGCACTCAATAAATATTAAAGCTCCAAAATAACCTCCTTTGACTTCATGTCCCACCTTCAGGGCGTGCTGGTACAAGCAGTGGGCTTATAAGGCCTTGGGCATCTCTGCACCTGTGGCTTTACAGAGTTCAGACCTGGAGGCTGCTCACACAGTTGTTGAATCACTGCAACTTTTCCATGCTGAGGGTGCAAGCTCCAGTAGATTGCCAAGACTTAGATTCCCAAGACTCACCCACACTTGCACACTGTTCATTGATGATAGGCTTAACACCACATGATAGCCTCCAAGGATTATGGCAGCCTTTGACCCCCGGAGCTACAGCCCAAACTGTATCTGGGCCTGATCGAGCTGACGCTGGAGCTGGAATGGCTGGGATGTGGGGAACAGTGTCCTGATACTGTGTAGGGCAGCCAGGCCCTGAATGTTGCCGATGAAGACAATTTTTCCTCTTGGGCCTCAGGGCCTGTGATGGGAAGGGCTGCTGCAAAGGTATCTGAAATGCCTTCAAGTCCTTTTCCTCACTGTCTTGGATATTAACACTTGGCTTCATTTTGTTATGCAAATTTCTCTATTTAATAACTAAAATAACTGTGGAGTGCTAGCTCCACAGCCTGCTTGAATTTGTCTCCCAAGGAAGCATTTTCTTTTTCTACCACATGGCCACAGTACAAATTATTCAAACTCTTATGCTCTTTTTCCCTTTTTAATATAAGACCAAATTTATGTCATTTATTTGTTCCTGCATGTGAGCATAGACTGTTAGAAGCAGCCAGGCTAACTCTTGAATGCTTTGCTACTTAGAAATTTCTCTCACCAGATACAATAAATCATCACTCTCAAGTTCAAAGTTTCATAGATCCCTAGGGTAGAGGCACAATGCAGCCAAATTCTTTACTAAGGAATAACAAAAGTGATCTTTGCTCCAGTTTCCATTAAGTTTTTCACTTTCATTTGAGACTTCCGCAGACTGGACTTCATTGTCCATATCACCCTTAGCATTTTGGTCACAACCACTTACCAGTCTTGCAGATGTTCTAAGCTTTCCCTCATCCTCCTCTCTTCTTCTGAGCTGTCCACTCTTCCAAGCTCTGCCTGTTATCAAATTCCAAAGCTGCTTCCACATTTTCAGATATATTTACAGCAATACAGCAATATTTCATTCCTGGTACCAATTTTCTGTAATAGGCCATTCTTTCGTTGTTATAAAGAAATACCTGAGACTGGGTAATTTATAATTAAAAGAAGTTTAATTGGCTGATGGTTCTTCATGACGTACAAGCATGGCACCAACATCACTTGGTTTCTGGGGATGCCTCAGGGAGCTTTTACTTATGTTGGAAAGTGAAGTGGGAGCAGGCACATCACATGGCAAAAATAGGAGTAAGACACAGAGAGAGTGCCACATACTTTTTAACAATCAGATCTAGTGAGAATTTACTCACTAATGCGAGGACAGCAACAAAGTGATGATGAGAAACCATTTATGAAAATCTGCCCCCATGATCTAAGCTGCTCCCACCAAGCCCCACTTTCAACTTTGTAGATTACAATTCAATGTGAGATTTGGATGGGGATACAGATTCAAACCATATCAATTAGCTATTTATTGCACTACTGGATTTGGCTTGCTAATATTTTTTGAGGATTTTTGTGTCTGTGTTTATCAGAAATATTGGTTTGTAGTTTTATTTTTATGTGTGTGTTCTTGACGGTTTTGGTACCAGGATGATACTGGTTTCACAGAATGAGTTGGAGAAGAATTCCTCCTCCTTTATTTTTGGAATAGTTCCAGTAAGATTGGTACCAGGTCTTCATTGTACATCAGGTAGATTTCAGCTTGAATATGTCTGGTCCAGGGCTTACTTTGGTTGTCAGGTTTTTTTTTTTATTATTATTATGATTGATTCCATTTTGCAAGTTTTTATTTGTCTCTTTAGGGTTTTAATTTCTTCCTGGTTCAATAACAGGAAATTGTGTGTTTACAGATTTTTTTTTTATGTTCTCTAGATTTTCTAGTTTGTGCAGAGGTGTTCATAGTAGTCTCTAGGGATCTCTTTCATCTCTGTGGGATCACCTGTAATATTATATTTATCATTTTTAATTGTGCTTATTTGGATCTTCACATTTGTTCTTTGTTAATATAGGTAGTGGTCGATTTTGTTTATTTTTTCAAAGAGCAAACTTTTCACTTTATTGATTCTTTGTGTGTTTTTTCTGGTCTCATTTTATTTAGTTCTGCTCTGATTTTGGTTATCTCTTTTCTTTTTTTTTTTTATTGTTATACATTAAGTTCTAGGGTACATGTGCACAACATGCAGGTTTGTTACATAGGTATACATGTGCCATGCTGGTTTGCTGCACCTATTAACTCGTCATTTGCATTAGGTATTTCTCCTAATGCTATCCCTCCCCCTTTCTCCAACCCCATGACAGGCCCCTGGGTGTGATGTTCCCCACACTGTGTCCAAGTATTCTCATTGTTCAATTCCCACCTATGAGTGAGAACATGTGGTGTTTGGTTTTCTGTCTTTGGGATAGTTTGCTCAGAATGATGGTTTTCAGCTGCATCCATGTCCCAGCAAAGGACATGAACTCATCCTTTTTATGGCTGCATAGTATTCCATGGTGTATATGTGCCACATTTTCTTAATCCAGTCTATCATTGATGAACATTTGGCTTGGTTCTAAGTCTTTGCTATTGTAAATAGTGCCACAGTAAACCTACGTGTGCATGTGCCTTTATAGCAGCATGATTTATAATCCTTAGGGTATATACCCAATAATGGGATCACTGGGTCAAACAGTATATCTAGTTCTAGATCCTTGAGGAATTGCCACACTGTATTCCACAATGGTTGAACTAGTTTTCACTCCCACCAACAGTGTAAAAGCATTCCTATTTCTCCACATTCTCTCCAGCATTTGTTGTTTCCTGACTTTTTAAATGATCACCATTCTAACTGGTGTGAGATGGTATCTCATTGTGGTTTGATTTGCATTTCTCTGACGGCCAGTGATGATGAGCATCTTTTCATGTGTCTGTTGGCTGCATAAATGTCTTCTATTAAGAAGTGTCTGTTCACATCCTTTGCCCACTTTTTGATGTGGTTGTTTGTTTTTTTCTTGTAAATTTGTTTAAGTTCTTTGTAGATTCTGGATATTAGCCGTTTGTCAGATGGGGAGATTGCAAAAATTTTCTCCCATTCTGTAAGTTGCCTGTTCACTCTGATGGTAGTTTCTTTTGCTGTGCAGGAGCTCTTTAGTTTAATTAGATCTCATTTGTCAACTTTGACTTTTGTTGTCATTGTTTTTGGTGTTTTAGCTATGAAATGCTTGCGCATGCCTATGTCCTGAATGGTATTGCCTAGATTTTCTTCTAGGGTTTTTATGGTTTTAGGTCTAATATTTAAGTCTTTAATCTATCTTGAATTAACTTTTGTATAAGGTGTAAGGAAGGGATCCAGTTTCAGCTTTCTACATATGGCTAGCCAGTTTTCCCAACTTCATTTATTAAATAGGGAATCCTTTTGACATTTCTTGTTTTTGTCAGGTTTGCCAAAGATCAGATGGTAGTAGATGTGTGGTGTTATTTCTGAGGCCTCTGTTCTGTTCCATTGGTCTATATATCTCTTTTGGTACCAGTACCATGCTGTTTTGGTTACTGTAGCCTTGTAGTAGAGCTTGAAGTCAGGTAGCGTGATGCCTCCAACTTTTTTTTTTTTTTTTTTTTTTTTTGCTTAGGATTGTCTTGGCCATGCAGGCTCTTTTTTGGTTCCATATGAACTTTAAAGTAGTTTTTTCCAATTCTGTGAAGAAAGTTATTGGTAGCTTGATGGGGATGGCATTGAATCTATAAATTACCTTGGGCAGTATGGCCATTTTCATATTTATTCTTCCTATCCATGAGCATGGAATGTTCTTCCATTTGTCTGTGTCCTCTTTTATTTCCTTGAGCAGTGGTTTGTAGTTCTCCTTGAAGAGGTCCTTCACATCCCTTGTAAGTTGGATTCCTAGATATTTTATTCTCTTTGTAGCAATTGTGAATGGGAGTTCACTCATGATTTGGGTCTCTGTTTGTCTTTTATGGGTATATAAGAATGCTTGTGATTTTTGCAGATTGATTTTGTATCCTGAGACTTTGCTGAAGTTGCTTATCAGCTTAAGAAGATTTTGGGCTGAGATGATGGGGTTTTCTAAATATACAATCATGTCATTTGCAAACAGGGACAATGTGACTTCCTCTTTTCCTAATTGAATACCATTTTTTTCTTTCTCTTTCCTGATTGCCATGGCCAGAACTCCCAATACTATGTTGAATAGGAGTGGTGAGAGAGGACATCTCTGTCTTGTGCCAGTTTCAAAGGCAATGCTTTCAGTTTTTGCCCATTCAGTATAATATTGGCTGTGGGTTTGTCATAAATAGCTCTTATTAATTTGAGATACGTTCCATCAATACCTAGTTTATTGAGAGTTTTTAGCATGAAGTGTTGTCGAATTTTGTTCAAGGCCTTTTCTGCATCTGTTCAGATCATCATGAGTTTTGGTCATTGGTTCTGTTTATGTGATGGATTATGTTTATTGATTTGCGTATTTTAAACCAGCCTTGAATCCCAGGGATGCAGCCGACTTGATTGTGGTGGATAAGCTTTTTGATGTGCTGCTGGGTTCGGTTTGCCAGTATTTTATTGAGGATTTTCTCATTGGTTTTCATCAGGGATATTGGTCTAAAATTCTTTTTTTTGTTGTTGTGTCTCTCTCAGGCTTGGTATTAGGGTGATGGTGGTCTCATAAAATTAGATAGGGAGGATTCCCTCTTTTTCTATTGATTGCAATAGTTTCAGGAGGGATGGTAGCACCTCCTCTTTGCACCTCTGGTAGAATTTAGCCATGAATCCATGTGGTCCTGGACTTTTTTTGGTTGGTAGGCTATTAATTATTGCCTCAATTTCATAGCCTGTTATCGGTCTATTCAGAGATTCAACTTCTTCCTGGTTTTATCTTGGAAGGGTGTGTGTGTCCAGGAATTTATCCATTTCTTCTAGATTTTCTAGTTTATTTGTGTAGAGGTGTTTATAGTATTCTCTGATGGTAGTTTGTGTTTCTGTGGGATTGGTGGTGATATTCCCTTTATCATTTTGTATTGTGTCTATTTTATTCTTCTCTCTTTTCTTCTTTATTAGTCTTGCTAGTGGTCTATCAATTTTGTTGATCTTTTCAAAAAACCAGCTCCTGGATTCATTGATTTTTTGAAGGGTTTTCTGTGTCTCCATCTCCTTCAGTTCTGCTCTGATCTTAGTTATTTCTTGTGTTCTGCTAGCTTTTGAATTTGCTCTTGCTTCTCTAGTTCTTTTCATTGTGATGTTAGGGTGTGAATTTTAGATCTTTCCTGCTTTCTCTTGTGGGCATTTAGTGCTGTAAATTTCCCTCACACACTGCTTTAAATGTATTCCATAGATTCTCGTACATTGTATCTTTGTTCTCATTGGTTTCAAAGAACATCTTTATTCTGCCTTCATTTTGCTATTTGCCCAGTAGTCATTCAGGAGCAGGCTGTTCAGTTTCCATGTATTTTTGCGGTTTTGAGTGAGTTTCTTAATCCTGCGTTCTAATTTGATTGCACTGTGGTCTGAGAGACAGTTTGTTGTGATTTCTGTTATTTCACATTTTCTGAGGAGTGCTTTACTTCCAACTATGTGGTCAATTTTGGAATAAGTGTGATGTGGTGCTGAGAAGAATGTAGACTCTGCTCATTTGGGGTGGAGAGTTCTGTAGATGTCTATTTTAGGTCTGCTTGGTGCAGAGCTGAGTTCAAGTCCTGGACATCCTTGTTAACCTTCTGTCTCATTGATGTGACTAATATTGACAGTGGGGTGTTAAAGTCTCCCATTATTATTGTGTGGGAGTCTAAGTCTCTTTGTAGGTCTCTTAAGACTTGCTTGATGAATCTGGGTGCTCCTGTATTGGGTGCACATATATTAGGATAGTTAGCTCTTCTTGTTGAATTGATCCCTTTGCCATTATGTAATGGCCTTCTTTGTCTCTTTTGATCTTTGTTGGTTTAAGGTCTGTTTTATCAGAGACTAGGATTGCAACCCCTGCTTCTTTTTGCTTTCCATTTGCTTGGTAGATCTTCCTCCATTCCTTTATTTTGAGCCTATGTGTTTCTCTGCACATGAGATGGGTTTCCTGAATACAGCACACTGATGGGTCTTGACTCTTTATGCAATTTTCCTGTGTGTGTCTTTTAATTGGTGCATTTAGCCCATTTACATTTAAGGTTAATATTGTTATGTGTGAATTTGATCCTGTCATTATGATGTTTGCTGGTTATTTTTCCCATTAGTTGATGCAGTCTTTTCCTAGCATTGATGGTCTTTACAATTTGGGATGATTTTGCAGTGACTGGTACTGATTGTTCCTTTCCATGTTTAGTGCTTCCTTCAGTAGCTCTTGTAAGGCAGGCCTGGTGGTGACAAAATCTCTCAGCATTTGCTTGTCTGTAGAGGATTTTATCTCTCCTTCACTTATGAAGTTTAGTTTGGCTGGATATGAAATTCTGGGTTGAAATTTTTTTTCTTTAAGAATGTTGAATATCAGCCCCCACTCTCTTCTGGCTTGTTGTGTTTCTACCTAAAGATCCACTTTTAGTCTGATGCACTTCCCTTTGTGGATAACCTGACCTTTCTCTCTGGCTGCCCTTAACATTTTTTCCTTCATTTCAACCTTGGTGAATCTGGCAGTTATGTGTCTTTGGGTTGCTCTCCTTGAGGAGTATCTTTGTGGTGTTCTCTGTATTTCCTGAATTTGAATGTTGGCCTGCCTTGGTAGGTTGAGGAAGTTCTCCTGGATAATATCCTGAAGAGTGTTTTCCAACTTGGTTCCATTCTCCCTGTCACTTTCAGGTACACCAGTCAAACTTGGATTTGGTCTTTTCACATAATGAAATCATCCACTGTGTTTAAGAAGAGTAGTTTGACAGAATATAAAATTCATGGCTGGTATTTCTTTTCTTTAAGTTGCATAAGGAAATTTTTGAATGTATAAATATAGAGTCAAAAATGCAAAATAAAATACTGGCAAATAAAATTCAGCAATGCATTAAGTTCTTAACATTACCATATGTAAGTAGTAAATTTATCACATAATCTATTTAAACATAATTTTAGTGTAAATTCAGGAATATAAGAACTGCTCTACATAATGTTTTCTCATTTATAAATTAACCTGCCTTATCAATCCTTCTTTTCCCTTCTTCCCAAACTGAAAATAAAACTAACTTTAAGAGGAAAATTCAAACATGTGTCAATCTGTGAGGGGTGAATTAATAAAGCAACAAGAATTATCTGGCCGTCCCTTCCTAGTTATTATTAAGCGGTCAAAGAGGACAGAAAGCACATATGCATCATACATTTTCATCATTTTATCAGGAATGGAATCCAATGATGGATTCTACCATCACGTTCCAGAACAAATGACCTTTAGAATTCCTTCAGACACTTGGCAACGTATATACACTTGACCCATAGAAGGTAATTTTTAGTTTTCAATGTACATGATCGGTCTCATCCAAATTTGAGAAAGAAGAAATATTTGCTAACAGTCTCTATAGACAGTCTCTGTCCAGGTCAAAAGACTGTATATATATCCATAACTGTATCTATATAGATATATAGTGCCTATGTGCATATATATGTGTGTGTTTTATACATATATATGCATGTGTGTGGTGTGTATGTGCATATGTATGTGTTTTATACATATATGTATGTATGTGTGTATATATATATATATATATAGAGAGAGAGAGAGAGAGAGAGACAGACCGACAGACAGACAAAATTAAAACAAAGTTTAAAACATGGGTGAATGCTGTATTTGGGGGAAGTCTAGCATATTTTTAAAACTAAGAACTGTGTCTTTAGAGGGGTAACTTTAAAGGCTTTCATCATATAATTAGCAGACCACCAAGAAATATAAATCCTCATTTCACTGCATGAAAAAAATATTTCTTCTTGCTGTTCAAAACACATTAAGTGTTTTAGGGAGAGGAATTTAGCCTATGTTTTTCTTTGGAAAATCAAACTTACTTAAACAAGTAATACTGAGTTGCTTTCTATGTCATCTACAAGCCACAGCAATGAGTCACTAGTTCCTGAAACACAGTGTGGCTATACTTGGATTTTTGACATATATCTAAAGATGTCTTGGACACACATTGCTTCCAGCCACAGACCAAATGAGGGTAGCCAAGTTCTCCCTATGATGGAAAACACACACAAACCATAAGGAAGGCACATCAGAATAATAATATGCTTGTAAATGATGTGAAAAAAAGAGAGAGGGAACGGGATACTATGGGAAGAAGTCAGTCTTAGTTTTCCCTCACTTTTTCTTGACTTCTACCGGCTTTAGAGATTGTTTCACTTCCCCAGTGTGGGTGGACAGAGGCTTTGTTTCTTTCACCTGCTGTCATGACAGTCTCTGTCCTGTCATTCTTTTCTTCACTCACTCAGATAATCTGCATAGTGAAGTAGAAGCTTGGCTTTCAAGTCAAACGGACAGACTTCAAGTCCCGGTTTTTCTACTTACTTGTGGTTTGATCTCAAGCAAGTTATTTTGTGTTATTTCCCTGGGACTTTCTGAGCCTCAGTTTTCTCATATATTAAGAGAAGCTACCAGTATTTTTCTTTCAAGACTGTTGTGAAGGTTAAATAATGAGTATGAAAGGGCTCTAATTTGTTTTACTATTCACTCTATACTTGCAATGAATGAAAGGCACTTTTCTAGATCACTGAGAGCATAAAGTGAAATAGGACAATCTCTGCCATTGAAGCAATTCATTAAGATCTATATATTTTCTATCCTACATTATACCCTATACATGTGCTTATCAAAACTTAACTGGTTTATGCCTCATTACCTCAGGGTTTTGATCCAAAGTCTTCAATTTAATAACATAATTTATGATAATGTGTTCATGCCTCCTTAGGGCATCATAGATTACCCTTCAGGATATATAGACATTTAAAATAGAGTTTTTGGAGACTATGGGACGAAGGAATATCTAGCAGTGGGAATTTCCAATGTCCCCTTCCCAAAGTTCATCTTTCTATAAATAATGTTTAGAAGTGGTTTTGTGTACTCACAATGCATGGGAGACTAGTCTTGCTAATATTTTAGTATAAGGAAAAAAGATAACTCTTTTTCAGGAAAGCAATTTGGCATAATGTGTCAAGAACTTTAAAGACGTTCACTCGCATTAACTTAGTAATTGCACTTTGAGGAATATCTTAGTAAGTTACATTTGAAAAAACTGGTTTTCACATAAAGGTTTATTCTAGTGCAAACAATTGCAAGCAGTGTAAATGACAAACGTCAAAAGAATGATTACATAAACTATACTATATCTATCTGATATAATGTTGTAGACCCATTAAAATTACTTTATGAATATTTTAATGCAGTAAGAAAACACTTACGTTACAAGGTTGATTAATATAAAATGCAAGTTGGATTTGGTATGAGTATACAAAGTTATATATATTTAATATAAGCCAACTATATAAAATTGATTCATAATATAAAATATAAAGTGAGATATTTAATTATCCATTTAATGGATCTCTATTGAACATTTACTATTTGCTGGGTGCTTTCTCAATACTAGGTATATACAGGTGAACAAGGCAAAACAGTTTCTGCCCTCATAGAATGAAAATAGCAGAGAAAAAGCTAGTTATTAACTATATAGAGTGTGATAAAGGAAATAAATTGAATTATGTGAAACAAAATACAGGAAACTAACAAGAGTAGGTGGTCAATGAAAGAGTTGATGAAGTGACATTTATGTTGAGACTTGAATAATGTGAAGATGTCAGTCACAAAGACTTGGGCAAGAGCTGCTTGGCAGAAGAGATGGCATGTGCAAAGACTCTGAGGAGATAATTGAGCTAGCATGTCCATGTAACACGAAAAGACCACGATCACAGATAATAGTGAGGTATGGAAAAGTGGTATGTGATAAATTTGGAGAGGTAAGTATGAGCTAGATTATGGATTGTCTTGCAGCTATGATTAAAAAGTTTGGGTTTTGTTTTAAGAGGAATAGTAGGCCATTGAATGGCTAAAATTTTCATTACATAAAAATAGTTAAAATCTATGTCAAAATGCACAATAAATAAAATCAAAAGGCAAGTACCAAACTGGGGGAAGGTGTTTGCAATCTATACAACAGAAAAAAAGTTACCTTTAGAAAACAAAGAGTTATTATAAATGAATACGACAAAAGATGAATATCCCCATGAAAAAAATGGACAAAATACATAACCTCATATTTCACTAAAAAACAATAAAGGTATTCATAAACACAAAAAAATCCAATCTCGATATCAATTAAATACAAATTAATGGAAATATTAGATATATTTCTTCTATAAAAATAGCAAAAAATAAAGGAAATGGTAATATGTGATTGCAGTGGCTGTTCAGGGAAACAGGTACTGTTGAACTGTACATTGGTCCCTTTAAGAAAGGCACTTTTTTAACAATGACATGTCTAGAAATGCTTATTAATTATTAATTATTCTTCTTGGAGTTTTGCAAAGCTTATCCTCAAGGAAACAAGTTTGATATTCTTTTCAGACACATGAGTCTATGATGAAGTCTCTGACAACTTGACATGAATGCATTGAATATTTATAGTTTAAAAGATGATGAGGGAGATGTCAATACTTTATTAAAAGTCTAAAATATGTAATTTAAAATACTTGAGCAATGTATGCACTTTCTGTTATCCCTCAAATCATACAACTGTCAACAGCAAACATTAACTGAGTGGTATTATTTAGTAGACACTGAGGATGCAGTAAGAAAGATGGAAGATACAAACAGAGAAAATTTAATGAAATAAAAAGAGACAAGCCCTAGATCTTAAAAGAGAAAAAATTTATGTAATTATGTGTTATTCTGAGTTTCTGTGAGTTACTGATACTATTCCACCAGAAGTTACCTGTGTGCTGGAAAATTACAAGAGCAAAGTGCAATCAGGTTCCAACAAGCGTTCTGACAAATGTAAAATGATAACCTGGCACAATCCTGGATGACAGTAGCAAAAATCAAATATTTACTGAACACTGATTATATGCCAGACATTTAGCAAAGAAGTATGCATTTAACTTTGAAAAAAAATCATATGAAATAGATGATATTATCTCCATTTTTTACGTGATAAAACTGAGATTCAGAACGTTTAAATAATTTGTCTAAGGTCATACAGCTGGCAGATGATAGAGTCAGGTTTCATTTCAGAGAATCTGAACACCTTCTTTGTACTAAGGAACGATGAACATAAAAACAGTTATTTTATAGCACTTTACTGTATATAAAGAGATGTCACACAAACTCATATAATCCCTACTAAAATTTTTAGAGATAGGTATTGTTTCTGTGTCCATTTCACTAATTAGAGAATAAGCTCAGAGAAACTAAGTGAAGTAAACCCAAGGTTAGAGAGCCACTAAGGGAACATACTTAGGTTATCTGACTCTAAGTACTATTTTTCCATGACACAACAGTCAGTCGTTATAGGCTTTCACATTTTGGATTGTCTCAAAATGCAGCACATAATACTTAATCATGTCCATGTCTTACTAATATAGTCCATCCGATGCTTTCTTGCTTTCAACTTATTAAACTTTGGTTATTAAAGCTTTAAAAGGAACATCTCTTTTGTAGGGAGAGAGTTGTGTGGGAATGTGTTTGTGTGTGCATGCATAGGTGTGTGAAAGAGAGAGTAAAAGAGAGACAGAGACAGATATACATAGTGAGATAGAAAGAGTCAGAAAGCAAATCAGAGAAAGAGAATAAAACAGATATACACACAGAAGCGCCATGAAAAAAGACTAGGAAGAAAATAGAGTATAAAAGTAAACTTCTAGAAATAAAAAAAGGTACATAAAAACAATGAGATACTTATATGGGGACATCTAGAATTGGCCAAGATTTTTAAAAAGGAAAATATGAAACAGTGATGAAACTGCTGGTAGTCTAAATTAATATACTATCATAAATGCCATAACCACATTAAAGAAGTTGTTCTTTTAAAGGCTTTAATGACCAAAGATTAATGTCAATTTGAGAGCAAGAAAGTATCTGCTAGACTCTGTCAGTAAGACATGTACATGATTAGGTATCATGTGCTTCATTTTGAAGCAACCCAAAATGTGAAAACTAGTAACAACCAACTGTGGTGTCATGGAAAGAACATACTATTTGGAGTCAGATAAACTGAGTCTGAGTCATTAGTGGCTCTCTAACCTTGGTTTTATTTGACTTAGCTTCCCTGAATCTGTTTCTTATTCAGCAAAATGGGGATAGTAACAATACCCATCTCTAATAATATTAGTAAAGATTACATGAGTTCATGCGACAGAAATTTATAAAAGGTAAAGGACTATAAAAATACTAGTCTTTGGAGAGTAATTTTGCATTTCAAATCTCTGAGAAAAGGAGCATTATTTTGACTTTGGCCCTACATTTCAACTTTTAGGAATTTAACCTAAAGAAATAATCAAGGATACAAACATATTATCTACAAGGATGCTCATCACAGTATAGTTTATAATAACAAAATATTGGTGACAACTTAAATTGTAACATAACTTGTGACCTACACAATCAAAAAAATGAATACTTTGCAGCCAAATAAAATGGGGATATAAATGATTATTCACAAAGGAGAGATGTTCACGGTATACTGTTAGTAAGAGAAGTAGATTGCAAAACCTTATTAGCATTATATTTCAAATGTTAATGGTTTCCATTAAATCATGTGTATTAGTCCATTCTCACATTGCTGTAAAGAATTATCTGAAACTGGGTAATTTATAAAGAAGAGAGGTTTTATTGGATCGCATTTTTCACAGGCTGCACAAGAAGCAAGGCTAGGGAAGCTTCCTGTGGAGGAAATTTACAATTATGATGGAAGATGAAGGGGAAGCAGGTAAGTCCTACATGGAGGAGGAAGACAGTGAAGTGGGAGGTGCTACAAACATGTAAACAACCAGATCTTATAAGAATTCCAAGACAGCATTAGGGTGATGGTGCTAAACCATTATAAACCATCCTCATGATCCAATCACCTTCCACCAGGCCCCACCTCCAACACTGGGGATTACAATTCAACATGAGTTTTGGGTGTGGACACAAAGTTAAACCACATCATTTTGCCCCTGGGCCTTCCCAAATCTTATGTCCTTTTCACATTACAAAAACAATCATGCCTTCTCAACAGTGCTTCATAGTCTTAACTCATTCCAGCGTTACCTCAAAAGTCCAAGTCCAAAGTTTCATCTGAGACAAGGCAAGTCCCTTCCACCTGTGAGCATGTAAAGTCAAAAATAAGTTAGTTTCTTCCAAGATACAATAGGGGTACAGGCACTGGGTAAATGCTCCCATTCCAAAAGGGAGAAATTGGCCAAAACAAAGGGGCTACAGACCCCATGCATGTCCAAAAACCAACAGGGCAGTCATTAAATCTCAAAGCTCCAGAATAATCTCCTTTGACTCCATGACTCACATCCAGGCCACAATGATGCAAAAGGTGGGCTCCTATGGCCTTGGGAAGCCCCACCCCTGTGGCTATGTGGGGTACAGCCCCCACGGCTGCTTTCATGGGCTGGTCTTGAGTGCCTGTGGCTTTTCCAGGGTCATGGTGCAAGCTGTCAGTGGATTGACTATCCTGGAGTCTGGAGGATAGTGGCCCTCCCCTGAGAGCTCCTCTAGGCAGTGCCTCAGTAACAACTATGTGTAGGGCCTCCTCCAACCTCATATTTTCCCTCCTCACTGTCTTAGTAGAGGTTTTCCATGAGCACTTCATCCCTACAGCATTTTTCTGCCTGGACATTCAGGTGTTTCCACCTGAATGTTGAGGCTTCCAAGCCTCAACTCTTGTCCTCTTCACACCCGCAGGCTTAACACCATATGGAAGTTGCCAAGACTTATGGCTGGCACCTTCTGGAACAGTGGAGCAGTGGCTTGAGTCATTTCTGAAGCCCTTTTAGCCATGGCTAGAGCTGAAGTGGCCAGCACACAGGGAGCAGTGTCCTGAGGTTGCACAGGGAAGCAGAGCCCTCGGCCAAGCCTGCAAAACCATTATTTCCTCTTAGACTCCAGGCCTGAGATGGGAGGGTTGTCACAAAGATCTCTGAAATGCTTTCGAGGCATATTCCCCAGTGTCTTACCTATTAACATTTGGCTCTTCTTTACTTATGCAAATTTCTGCAGCCAGCTTGAATTCCTCCTCAGCAAATAGGTTGGAATTTTCTACCACATGGTCAGGCTGCAAATTTTCTAAACTTTCATGCTCCACTTCCTTTTTAAATATAAGTTCCAGTTTCAAATCATCTGTTTGCTCACACATATGATTTTATGCTGTTACAAGCAGCTAGGCCATATCTTGAATACTTTGCTGCTTAAATATTTCTTTTGCCAGATATCCTGAATCATCTCTCTAAAGCTCAAATTTCCACAGATCTCTAAGACAGGGCACAATGCTACCAATATCTTTGCTAAAGCATAGCAAGAGTGACCTTTACTCCAGTTCTCATCTTCATCTGAGATCACCTCAGCCTGTACTTCATTGTCCGTATCATTATCAGCATTTTGGTCACAACAATTTAATAAATCTCTAGGAAGTCCCAAACTTTCTCTCATCATCCTATCTTCTTCTGAGCCCTCCAAACTGTTCCAACCTCTCCCCATTACCCAGTTCTAAAGCTGCTTCTATATTTTTAGGTATCTTTATAGCAATGTCCCACTTCCCTCATATTGATTTTCTGTATTATTCTATTCTTGCATTGCTATAAAGAACTACCTGAGAAATGGGTAATTGAAAAAGAAAAAGGGTTTAATGGGCTCACAATTTCACAGGCTGTAGAGAAAGCATGGCTGGGGAGGCCTCAGGAAACTTACAATAATTGTGGAAGGCAAAAGGGAAGCAGGCATGTCATGGATGGCTTGAGCAGAAGGAAGAGTGAAGAAGGTGGTGCTACACACTTTTAAACAACCAAAACTCGTGAGAACTCTACATGAGATAGCACTAGAGGGAAAGTGTTAAACCATTAGAAACCACCCTCATGATTCAATTGCCTATCACCAGTACCCACCTCCTACATTGGAGAATTACAATTCGGTGTGAGATTTAGGTGGGGACACAGAGCTGAAACATATCAGTAAGGATAATGAAATTATGGTTGACTTATACTTTTCTTTCTTCTATTCTTTCTTTCTTTTATTCCTTCCTTTCTTTTTCTTTCTTTCTTTCTTTCTTTCTTTCTTTCTTTCTTTCTTTCTTTCTTTCTTTCTTTCCTGCTTCTCTTTCTCCTTCCTTTTCCCCTTTCTTCCTTTCCCTTTCTTTTCCTTCCTTCCTTCCTTCCTTCCTTCCTTCCTTCCTTCCTTCCTTCCTTCCTTACTTCCTTCCTTCCTTCCTTCCCTCCCTCCCTCTCTCCTTCCTTCCTTTCTTCCTTCATTCTTGCTTTTCTTCTGTCTTTTTTCTGTGTTTTTTTCTACTCATTTTTGTGTGGAAAATGTTTTTTCAGTAAAGGAATAACCTTTGTTATTAAAAATTCTTTTTTAAGAAAAAAGAAAAGAAAATCACTTTATTAGAGAAAGTACATTAAAGAAAAACAAAAAGAAATTATAATAAAAGATTATATTGAGGAAGACACTTGAAAAATTTATAATCACTTCTCTATCTCCAAAGCTTAAAAATTGTTCATTAAGAGTGTTTTGCTCACTAAATCAGAGACAATGGTCAAAAAATATTTCAATATAATCCTTTGTAAACTCCACACATGAGCACTTTAATTAATAGCTCATCTGAAAGCTGTGAAGACAACTAGGAACTAGGCATCAGTGAAGGTTTTGGCATGAAAACATTTTGTATGAAGTCTCTCCTCCTTCCATCTCCATCAAAATGAAAACTTGCATTCACTTTCAGGTATGAGGTGAATCTTGAACGATGCCGCGTTTTCACATGCTCAACTCCCCTTATGCCTTCTGTACTACCAAGTCTGCCTCAATCTAAAAACAGCAAATACACAGTTTTTTTTTTTTTTAACAAGGCTCAGTGGAAGCTCTCAACACTCTGTAAGGGTCTCCATACTAAATACACAAGAGACAACATTCCCAAACACTGGCATAGAAACCTAGTATATATAGTCCTTCTATTCCCCTATGTTCCTATAACATGTAATAAACTTTCAGTTGTTAGGAAGTAATTAGAGAAATAAAAAACAGGGTTATATTTAGTGAAGGATTTTGTGAAGGCTAAAGGCATTTGATGGTTCTACTGCTTTAAACTGTCCTGGCTAAGAGCAGCGAAGTATTTTTGGTAGAACATTTTAGAAGGATGATGCCTTGTCTACAGAGGTGAAATATGTTAATAATCAGAGAAACATGCATCGTAAGTAATGCAACTGTGTTAGTTCTCCCGAGAAACAGAAACAGTAGGATAGATAGATAGATAGATCTGAGGAGATTCATGATTCATAATTCACATAATTATCAAAGTTGAGAAAGCTCCACCAAATACTGTCTCCAAGTTGGAGAACCAGAAAAGCCAGTGGTATAATTCAGTTCAAAGGCTGTAGGCCTGAAAACAGGGTGGGGATAGGGAGATGGGAGGACAGAGTGTTGGTGTAAGTTCCAGATCCCAAGGCGCAAAAATCAGATGTCATGTCTGAGGGCTGGAGTAGACAATGTCTCAGCTAAAGAAAGGAAAGAATTCACCCTTTCTCCTTTTTGTTTTACTCAGTTCCTCAACAGATTGGATGATGCCCACCCACATTGATGAGAGCAGATCTTCTTCATTCAACCTACTTATTCAAATGTTAATCTCTTACAGAAAGACCCTAATATAGTTCGGCTGTGTTTACATCAAAATCTCAACTTGAATTCCCACGTGTTGTGATTCTTGTGATATTGAATACATCTCATGAGATCTGTTGGTTTTAAAAAGGGGAGTTTCCCTGCACAAGCTCTCTTCTCTTGCCTGCTGCCATGTGAGACATGCCTTTTACCTTCTGCCATAATTGTGAGTCCTCCCCAGTCATGTGGAAATGTAAGTCGATTAAACCTTTTTCTTTTGTGAATTGCCCAGTCTCAGGTATGTCTTTATCAGCAGTGTGAAAAAGGATTAATACGGTAAGTTGGTACCAGTAGAGTGGGGTGCTCCTGAAAAGATACCTGAAAATGTGGAAGTTACTTTGGAACTGGGTAACAGGTTGGAACAGTTTGGAGGGCTCAGAAAAAGTCAGCAAAATGTAGAAAAATTTGGAACTCCCTAAAGACTTGTTGAATGGCTTTGACAAAAATGCTGATAATTACACGTACAGTGAAATCCAGGCTGAGGTGGTCTCAGATGGAGATGAGGAACTTGTTGGGAACTGGAGCAAAGGTGACTCTTGTTATGTTTTAGCAAAGAGACTGGTGGCATTTTACCCCTGCCCTAGAGATTTGTGGAACTTTGAACTTGAGAGAGATGATTTAGTGTATCTCTTGGAAGAAATTTCTAAGCAGCAAAGCATTCAAGAAGTGGCTTGGATGCTGTTAAAGGCATTCAGTTTTAAAAGGGAAACAGCATAAAACTTTGGAAAATTTAGAGCCTGACAATGTGACAAAAAAGGAAATCTCATTTTCTGAGGACAAATGCAAACCCACTGCAGAAATTTGCATAACTAACAAGGAGCCAAATATTAATCACCAAGACAATGGGGAAAATATCTCCAGGGCATTTCAGAGGTCTTAACTGCAGTCCCTCCCATCACAGGCCCAGAGGCCTAGAAGGAAAAAATGGTTTTGAGGTCCAGGCCCAGGGTCCATGTGCTGTGTGTAGCCTAGGGACTTAGTGACCTGCATCCCAGCTCCAGTCATGCCTAAGAGGGGCCAATGTAGAACTTGGGCCATGGCTTCAGAGGGTGCAAGCCCCAAGCCTTAGCACCTTCAATGTGACAATGAGCCTGTGAGTGCAGAGAAGTCGAGAATTGGGTTTTGGGAACCTCCACCTGAATTTCAGAGGATGTATGGAAACACATGGATGTCCAGGCAGAAGTTAGCATCAAGGGCAGGGCCGTCATGGATAACGTCTGGTTGGACAGTATGGAAGGAAAACATGGGATCAGAGCTCCCACACAGAGTTCCTACTGGGGCACCACCTAGTGGAGCTGTAAAAAGAAGATCACCATCCTCCACTCCCAAGAATGGTAGATCTACTGACAGCTTGTACTGTGAACATGGAAAAGCTGCAGATACTCAATGCCAGTTTGTAAAATCAGCCAGGAGGGAGGCTGAACCTTGCAAAGCCACAGAGGCTGTCCTGTCCAAGGTCACAGGAACCCACCTCTTGCATCACCATGACCTGGATGTAAGACATGGAGTCAAAAGAGATAATTTTGCAGCTTTAAGATTTGACTGCCCCACTGGATTTTGCACTTGCATGGGGCGTGTGGCCTCTTTTTTTCTGGCCCATTGCTCCCATTTGGAATGGCTGTATTTACCCAGTGCCTGTACCCCCATTGTATCTAGAAAGCTACTAACTTGCTTTTGATTTTACAGGCTCATAGACTGAAGTGACTTTCTTTGTCTCAGATAAGACTTTGGGCTGTAGACTTTTGAGTTAAAGTTAAAATGAGTTAAGACTTTGGGGGACTCTTGGGAAGGCATGATTGGTTTCAAAATGTGAGGACATGAGATTTGGGAAGGGCCAGGGATGGAATGACATGGTTTGGCTGTGTCCTCAATCAAATATCGTCTTGAATTTCCACATGTTGTGGGAGAGACCCAGTGGGAGGTAATTGAATTATGGCAGCAGGTCTTTCCTGTGCTGTTCTTGTAATAGTGAATAAGTCTCATTAATTCTGATGGTTTTAAAAGGGGAGTTTCTCTGCAGATACTCTCTTCTCATCTGCCACCATCTGTGATATGCCTTTCACCTTCTGACATGATTGTGAGGCCTCCCCAGCCATGTGGAACTGTGTCCATTAAACCTCTTTATTTTATATATTGCCCAGTCTCGGGTATGCCTTTATCAACAGCATGAAAATGGACTAATACACACCCTCACATACACACCCAGAAATAATCTATTACCAGCACTCTGGGCATTCTCTTAACCCAGTGATGTTGACAAAGAAAATTAACCATCAAAATTCCACCACTTGTCAACTTGACATGCATACACAGCTCCTTCAACTATACTTAATCTCCAAATAAAGACAATAATAAAGAAATAACTCTGCTTAACGTAATACAACTGTTCTGTGTACAAACAAAAATACATTAATTCCTACCCTCAGAGTGGAGGTAAAGTCTTTCAGTGATGTGTATTTTTTCCTGATTTTCTGTAACTTAAATATTACAATGTAAAATTAACAATACTTAAATATTGATATAGTCAATACATTTAAAGTTATTTGATAAGGGAAAGAAAAAAATTGCTCAAAATATGTATTTTCATATGTTAAATGTGTATGTGTGTGTAATAATTCACATCCACACACGAATGTCATTCATTACAAAATGAGAAAAACATGCTCATGACAATTACAGTCCTTATTTCTGTAACTGGTTACATGGTAGTAGCTAGTATTTATAACTACTTTGTTCTGCTGTCCATCCTGTATTACCTTTCCCTTTGGCAAGCACTTATGCTATTTGTGGTTCTTTATCTGGTAGGATAACCCAAACCTTCATTTCTGGCTGCCGTTTTCATGAGTCCACTCAGCAATGACAGAGTTGTCTGGCAAAACAAGCTTACTGGTATCTATAGAATGCATCATTCTATCCACTTGATTAGTTAAATCCTTCTCTGCTGGGTTCATCCTTTGGAAACACTCACACAGGACACAAATATCTTCATAATTTTTTATCATTCAGAGATATTTATCCCTATGTCTTCTCCTCAAATTTTTTTTGGTCACCAATTCTCCAATTATGTTTCTTTCTGCTTCCTGTCCATCCACTCAAACGATTGGCTACAGATGATAAATTGTTATATAATTGCATTTCTAGCCATTTTGCCTTCTAAGCAAGAAGCACAACCAGGTGCAGCACTCAACGTTTTGCCCATTGGGAAAATTTACCTTTACCAGTGTCCTTCAGTGATGTCTCATAGAAGTTCTGTAGTTACAGTTTTGAGTGATGCCTTCAAAATATATTGTGCCTAAAAACTAATTCTTGTTGACAAGTCTTAATCAGCATAATGACATTAATCTAAATAACTAGCATGATATTTTGTGGAAAGAGACAGTCTAGATTTCTCTTAACTACATTATGATATAGAGTTGGAGAGTTGATATACCTCTGAGGTAGAACAGTGAAGGTATACTCTTGGCCTTGCTAGATAAAAGCAAATTGCTTCTGGTGGGCCTTGTAAATAGGATGGAGAAAAAGGTATTCGCCAGCTAAATAGCTGCATATCAGGTACCAGGGATGGGTCTACTTGCTCAAGCAACAAAACCACATCAGGTGCAGCCCCTGCAATTGGAGTCATCACTTGGCTAAGCTTACAGTAATCTATGGTCATCCTCCAATATCCATCTCTCTTCTTCACAGTCCAAATAGAAGAGTTGAATTGGGATGTGGTGGGAATCACCACCCCTACATCTTTCAAGTCCTTGATGGTAGCCCTAGTATCTGCAATGCCTCAAGAAATGCAGTATTGCTTTTAATTTACTATTTTCCTGGATAAAGGCAGTTTCCTAGATAATGGCTTGCATTTGACCTTTTCTACTATACTATCCCTTACTTTATAGGTCAAGAAACCAATGTGGAAATTCTGCTATTTGCTAAATATGTCTATTCCAATTATGCATTCTGGAATTAGGAAATAACTGCAGAATGGGTTAAGGGACCCAACGGGTCCACTGTAAGATAGACCTGAACTAAAGGTTCCATTGATTTTCTGGCCTCTGTAAGCTGTTACTCTAACTGGGGGGTCACAGTTACCTTTAAGGGTCTCCTAGAATCAATGTAAGTTCAGAGCAAGGATCTGGAGTCTCAATAAAACCTGATTATTTTTCTTTTTTTCTAATGCACAGTTACCCTTTGGGGAACGCTGAGAAAGATATGAATAATATAAATTTTCAGTGGTGCACCAAGGTCCTTCCTCAAGAAAATCTAGCGTCCCTTTCACTTAAGGGATAGTGGGTTTGCAAATAGGCTCAACTCTGGAAATTGATTGAGGGGCCATGACTCTGTTTACATGATTTATGATATACTTATTCATTTGGTCTGGAACTTTTTTTGTTTATGCAAATTAAGTATGAATTTAGTAAGCTTTCTATTTTGCTTCTTTTTTTATTTTATTTTATTATTATTATACTCTAAGTTTTAGGGTACATGTGCACAAGGTGCAGGTTAGTTACATATGCATACATGTGCCATGCTGGTGTGCTGCATCCATTAACTCGTCATTTAGCATTAGGTATATCTCCTAATGCTATCCCTCCCCCGTCCCCCCACCCCACAACAGTCCGCATAGTGTGATGTTCCCCTTCTTGTGTCCATGTGTTCTCATTGTTCAATTCCCACCTATGAGTGAGAACATGCGGTGTTTGGTTTTTTGTCCTTGCGATAGTTTACTGAGAATGATGATTTCCAATTTCATCCATGTCCCTACAAACGACATGAACTCATCATTTTTTATGGCTGCATAGTATTCCATGGTGTATATGTGCCACATTTTCTTAATCCAGTCTATCATTGTTGGACATTTGGGTTGGTTCTAAGTCTTTGCTATTGTGAATAGTGCCGCAATAAACATACGTGTGCATGTGTCTTTATAGCAGCATGATTTATAATCCTTTGGGTATATACCCAGTAATGGGATGGCTGGGTCAATGGTATTTCTAGTTCTAGATCCCTGAGGAATTGCCACACTGACTTCCACAATGGTTGAACTAGTTTACAGTCCCACCAACAGTGTAAAAGTGTTCCTGTTTCTCCACATCCTCTCCAGCACCTGTTGTTTCCTGACTTTTTAATGATTGCCATTCTAACTGGTGTGAGATGGTTTCTCATTGTGGTTTGGATTTGCATTTCTCTGATGGCCCGTGATGGTGAGCATTTTTTCATGTGTTTTTTGGCTGCATAAATGTCTTCTTCTAAGAAGTGTTTGTTCATGTCCTTTGCCCACTTTTTGATGGGGTTGTTTGTTTCTTTCTTGTAAATTTGTTTGAGTTCATTGTAGATTCTAGATATTAGCCCTTTGTCAGATGAGTAGGTTGTGAAAATTTTCTCCCATTGTGTCTATTTTGCTTCTAGAACACCATGATAAATCAGCCAATGCCACAAGTCTGTGTGAGTCAGACTATTTTGATTGTTATTTTACCTCTGCTTTTCATTACAATATCTACAGTGACCTTGCCTTTGGCAGTTGATTGCTACCACTTGGCCTCTGCCACCCAAAGATCCAATTACTGCTATTGAATATAGGTTTTTTTGTTGTTTTTGTTGGGAGTGTTTGTGGTTTCCACTATAAGGTTTGGACTACAGAAAACAATGATTATGGAGCTTGTCAAAGATGCTAAGGCTTTCCTCATAAATTTATATCTAAAAGCATTGATGAAAGACACATCTTCTGACTTTTGCCCCCTTGAGTGGTTAAATAGGTCTTAAATGATAAATCCACTCAAACATTTTAATCTCTCTAAGACTTTGAATTCCTTTCTTTATATTTAACCAAGGAAGTTTGGGTATTTTAAATTTGCTCATTGTGGACCCTCTTTTGATTCATATTTTAGCCAACCAACCAAACAAACTGATAGAGCCTGATCTAACTTCAAAAGCTACAATATTAAATGCAGAATCTTTGTTTGGTGGGCTCTCATCACTAAATTCAATCAAATTCAAATTTATGTCCTTCTACCATTATGAACACCCTTAATATCAATTCCCACACTTGTTCCGTTACCTTTGGCTTATATATATTAGAAAACTGAAGTACTTATTTTGAATTGTAGTGCACTTTTGGAGGGCTCACACTTTGTATCTCATTTTTAAGGATCTGCTTGGACATAAGCCAGTGTATAAGTCTAGGAGCAAGAAGAGGTAATGAGAGTGAATTCTAAGGAGATTCAGCTTTGTATTTCATGACAACTGCCTCAGTGAAAAGCCATTACCATTTTATCAGGCAATGCAGGGTAAATATGCTCAGATAAATGTGGAAAAGCTAATAACACTGTAGGTGTAGAGACTGCTACAACTGGCGGTGGAGCTTTTATTTCCTTGAAGAAGAGAAGTCTTCCACTGGCAAAAAAGACTCACCAAAATTTAGGGGCTCAAGGTGCCTAATTTAATCAGAGTCTTTCAAGACATCCCCATCCCAATTTACAGTATTTTATTATTCCCATTCTATGCCTTCTGTTTAACTGTAGACGTTTCGTGAGTCTGGGAATTCAACATGCCTTGTAAATTAGCCAATTATAGGATGGAGTCTTGCACTTTAATTTTCAGCAATTTCAGCCCTGTGGCTATAGGAGATAAGGCTCATCCTCAGGGCACACCTGGAAGATGTTAGGACATTTATGTGGCTTTTAAGTTTGGAATTTGAACCCCTGAGTTCATTATTTTTTCCTCACTTTGTCCTAGAACAATTAGAACCAAGCAACCAATGTAATTACATTTCTTAGTTTGCAAAAAATGTTCAAAACTATCATATACAGAATTACTTAGCTCCTTGCTTCTTATAAGCGGTTGACTAGGAGTATCAGATGCAGATATTTTGCATATTTCTATAAACATTTGAAGCTATGCTCTCTTTACCACTGGAAATAGTCATTTGCATCATAAACCTAATCAGATAAGACAGTCAATTCCAGAAACCCCAAAACCAAATTTCAAAAACTGATCCTTAAAATTCTGTTCCGATAGAACCTTTCTCAGTATCAATATCTGTATTAATCGAAGTTCCTCAGAGAAACATAACCAACAGTATATATATTGATATGTAAGAGAAGATTTGTTATGGGAATTGGTTTACACATTTATGGAGGCCATCAAGCCCTACAATATACCCTATATAAGCTGGAGGACCAGGAAAATCAGTGGTGTAATTTCATTTGAGTCTGAAGCCCTGAGAAACATAAAAAAGAGTTATGGGAGGAGTGCTGGCATAAGTCTCGGAGTCAGAAGGCCTAAGAAACAGGACCTGTGATGCCCCAGGGCAGAAGATGGATGTCTCCGCTCATTAAAACAGAGCAAGAAATTTGCCCCCTTCACCTTTTTTTGCTCTATTCGGCTCTCAATGAATTGCATTATGCTCATCCACATTGGTGAGGGGGGATCTTCTTCACTCAGGATACTGATTCAAATGTTAATCTCCTCTAGATACAGCCTCACAGACACACCCAGAAATATTTTCTCAGCTATCTGGAAAATTCAAATTAGTGGAGTTGAAACATAAAATTAACTATCACAGTAATCATGTCCTAATTCCACATACATACAGTCACATGTATGAAGACAAGTACGCTTTCTATAGTACTGGTCCAAGTGAAAAACTATGGGTGAAATAATTATTTTGCTTAAATAAATAATATTTTTAATCTTTTTAAAAATTTTGGATATTATTTTTGAGAACTATAAATTTCTTAGTAGTTGAAGCAAATTTCACAAAATTCAGCATCATTTTATAATAAAAACACTCAAGAAACTAGGAATAGAGGGAACTTCCAAAACATGAAAAAGGACATTTATGATAAACCCAAAGCTAACAAATACTTAATGGTGAAAGACTGAAAGTTTCCCCTGCAAGATCAGGAGCAAGACAAACATGTCTATTCTCCCGACTTCTATTCAGCATTGTACTAAAAGTTCTATCCAGAACAATTAGGCAAAAAAAGTAAATAAAATACTTATTAATTGGGAAAGAAGAAGTGAAACCATAACCGTTTGCAGATGACATGATCTTGTGTATATAAAATTCTGATGATTCTACAAACGACTATTAGAGCTAATAAATGAATTAAGAAAAGTTGCAGGATACAAGATCAAACCAAAAAGTAACTTTTATTTCTATATACTAGTAACAATTCAAAAAAGAAATTTTAAAATTTTCATTTACAAAAACAACAAAAGAATAAAATCCTTAGGAATAATCATAACCAAGGAGGTGCGGAAGTTGTACATTGAAAGCTGTAAAACAGTGATTACAGCAATAAGACATAAGCAAATAAAAAGCATCTCATGTTCATAGATTCGAAGATCTAATATTGTTAATATGGCAATGTGCCCAAAGCAATCTGCAGATTCAATGGACATCCTATCAAAATCTCAATGGCCTCTTTTGTAGCAATGAAAAAGCAGATTCTAAAATTCATATGTAATTGTAAGCGATGCTGAATATCCAAAATAAAGATGGGCAAAGAAGAACAAACTTAGAGGAGTTACACATTCCAACTTCTAAACTCATTACAAAGCTGCAGTGATTACCACTATGCAGTACCCACATAAGGATAGATGTGTAGTTCAACTGAATGGAATTGAGAGTGCAAAAATAAAACCATGTGTCTATGGTCTACTGACTTTTGTTAAGACTGTTAAGATTATTCAATGATAGAAATAATAGATGTTTCAACAAGGGGTGCTGGGACAAATTTTATTTTTCACAAAAATTAACTCAAAATAAATATCTAAATAAAAGAGCTTAAACTATAAAACACTTAGAAGAAAACATAAGGAGAAATATCCATGATTTTGGATTTCACAGTCAATTCTTAGATATAATTACAAAAGCCTGAGTGACAAAATAAGATATATTTATATACACACACACACACGTGTATTAACATATGAAAATATATATATTAAAGTTATATATATAAGGCTTTATTAAACTTCAAAATTTTGTGCATCAAAGGACAATATTAAGAGAGTAAGCAAAAAATAACAGAGAATAAGATAAAATATTTGCAAAGAATATCTGATGATGGATTATATCTAGAACACATAAAGGATTCTTACAACTCAGTAACAGAAATAAATAACCCATTTAAAAACTGTTAAAGGCAATAATAAATTTACAGCATACAGCCAACTGAGCTTTGACAAGGATGCTGAAAATATATAATGGGGGAAAGGATTGCATCTTTAATAAATGGTATCAGATGCAGAAAACTGATATATACACATCAGTTGGGAAAACTGTATATACACATGCCAAAAAAAAGAATAAGAAGAGTCAGGGCCAAGATGGCCAACCACAAACAACAGTGATCAGAGGCTCCCACCGAAAAGATCCAAAGCAGCATGTGAATCATGCACTGGCAACCGAGGTATCAAGGTTCTGTCATTAGGACTGACTGGGTGGCTGGCGTTACCCACAGAGAGGAAGGAAGAGCAGTGTGGTGCAGCGGCTCACCTGAGAGTCACATGGGGCAGGAGAGCCCCCACCCCCAGCCAAAAGAGGTGGAAGTGAGCATGCTCCCCAGCCTGGGAATCCATGCTTTTTCCATGGAACTGTGTATCCCATGGATCAAAAGATCCTACTTTTGTGAGGTGTGACCATGTCACCAGGGCTTTGGGTCCCAAACACTGAGCCATGCAGATTCTTACTCAGCTAGACTTGGCCTAAGCAGGCCGAGTTCCCAGGGGGAGGGGCAGCCATCACCACTGCTGTGGCTGCCTGATATCTAAGCCATCTGAGCTCCTTGGGGGAGGGGTGGCAGCCAACACTGCAGGTGCAGGGCCTTCCTGCAGAAAATTTAACTGCAGCCAGTAGCTCAGGGACAGAACTCTAATCTCCCTGGGCCTAAACCACTAATGGTGGGGGGGGGGGGTGGTGGCATAGTCTCCATGAATCAGCAGACTTAGTCTTTCCACCTGCTAACTCTGAGGAATCTGGGCAGCCCAGATGAGTGGGTTTCCCCCCAGCGCAGCATACCTCCTCCACCAAGGGGCAGCCAAAGGTCTTTGTTAAACAGGTCCTGCTTCCCATGCCCCCAACTGAATGAGAACCCCTGAATAGGGGTAGTCAGACATCCTATACAGAAATGTCTCTACTGGCATCATGTTGGTGCCCCTCAACGTCAGACATCCCAGGAAGATTCAGGCACCCATCTTTGCTGTTCTCCATCATCCTGGAGTGACATTTCCAGGTGCAGGAGTGAACCAGAAGAAGAGGGTCTAAAGTGAACACCCATCATGCTGCAGCAGCCCTACAGAAGAGGGACCTGACTATTAAAAGAAAAACAAACAGAAAACAACAAGAGCATCGACCAAAAACAGTCCCCCCAAAAACCTCATCCAAGGGTCAGTAACCTCAAAGATCAAAACTAGACAAATTCATCAAGATGAGAAAGAATCAATGAAAAAATGCAGAAAACCCCAAAAAACCAAAATGTCTCTTCTCCAATAATCGCAACAGCTCTTCAGCAAGGGTGCAGAATAGGATGGAGAATGAGATCGACAAATTGATAGAAGTAGGCTTCGGAAGGTGGGTAGTAACAAATTTCGCTGAGGTAAAGGAGCATATTACCCAATGCAAAGAAGGTAAATCATTTTATGAGGCCAACATTATCTTTTTTTTTTTCTTTTTTTGAGATGGAGTTTTGCTCTTGTCACCCAGGCTGGAGTGCAATGGTGCGATGTTGGAGGCCAGCATCATCTTGATACCAAAACCTCACAGAGACACAACAACAAAAAATTCAAGCCAATATCCATGAGGAATATTGATGTAAATATTCTCAATAAAATACTGACAAACTGAATCCAGCAGCACATCAAAAAGCTTATCCACCATGATCAAGTCGGCTTTATCCCTGGGATGCAAGCCTGGTTCAACATACACAAATAAATAAATGTAATCCATCACATAAACATAAGTAGTGAGAAAAAACACATGATTATCTCAATAGATGCAGAAAAGGCCTTTGATAAATTTCAATATGGCTTTATGTTAAAAACTCTCAATAAAGTAGGCATTGATGAAACACATCTCAAAATAATAAAAGCTATTTATGACAAATCCATAGCCAATATCATACCGAATGGGCAAAAGCTGGATGCATTTCTCTGAAAACTGGCACAAGACAAGGATGCCCTCTCTCACCATTTTTATTCAACATAGTATTGGAAGTTCTGGCCAGGGTGATCAGGTAAGAGAAATAAATAAACTATATTCAAATAGGAAGAGAGGAAGTCAAACTGTCACTGTTTGCAGATGACATGATACTATATATAGAAAACCCAATTATCTCATCCCTAAAATTTCTTAAGCTGGTAAGCAACTTCAGCAAAATCTCAGGATACAAAATCAATGTGCAAAAATTACAAGCATTCTTATACACCAACGATAGACAGACAGCCAAATCATGGATGAACTCCCATTCACAATTGCTACAAAGAGAATAAAATACCTAGGAATACAGCTAACAAAGGATGTGAAGGACTTCTTTGACAAGAACTACAAACCACTGCTCAAGGAAATCAGTGAGGACACAAACAAATGGAAAAGCATTCCATCCTCATGGATAGGAAGAATCAATATTATGAAAATGGTTACACTGCCCAAAGTAATATATAGATTCAATGCTATTCCCATGAAGCCACCATTGACATTTTTCACAAAATTAGAAAAAACTACTTTAAAATTTATATGGAACCAAAAAAAAGCTTGCATAGCCAAGACAATCCTAAGCAAAAAGAACAAAGCTGGAGGCATCATGCTTCCTGACTTCAAACTACACTACAAGGCTACAGTAACCAAAACAGCATGGTACTGGTACCAAAAGAGACAGAATAGAGACCTCAAAAATAAGACCACACATTTACAACTACCTGATCTTTGACAAACCTGACAAAAACAAGCAATGGGGAAAGGATTCCCTATTTGATAAATGATGCTGGGAAAACTGGCTAGGCATATGCGGAAAACTGAAAAAGGACCTCTTCCTCATCCATTATACAAAAATTAACTCAAGATGGATTAAATACTTAAATGTAAAACTCAAAACTATAAAAACTCTAAAAATCACAGAAGCAATACCATTAAGGATATTGATATGGACAAAGATTTTTTGATAAAATTGCCAAAAGCAATTACAACAAAAGCTAAAATTGACAATTGGGATCTAACTAAACTAAAGAGCTTCTGCAAAACAAAAGAAACTATCATCAAAGCAAACAGGCAACCTCCAGAATCAGAGACAATTTTTGCAATCTACCCATCTGACAAAGGTCTAATATCCAGAATTTACAAGAAACTTAAAAAAATTTACAACAACAAAAAAACTCCATCGAAAAGAGGGCAAGGTATATGAACAGACACTTCTCTAAAAAAAGACATTTATGCAGCCAACAAATATATGAAATAAAGCTCAGCATCACTGATCATTAGATAAATGCAAATCAAAACCACAATGAGATACCATCTTATGCCAGGCAGAATGGTAACTATTAAAAAGTCAAGAAACAACAGATTCTGGCTAGACTGTGGAGAAAGAGGAACACTTTTACACTGTTGGAAAGGATGTACATTAGTTCAACCTTTGCTGAAGACAGTGTGGAGATTCTTCAAGGATCTAGGACCAGAAACAGCATTTGACCCAGAAATCCCATTACTGAGTATATACCCAAAGTTATATGAATTATATTATGAAGAGACATGCACAAGTATGTTCATTGCAGCATCATTCACAATAGCAAAGTCATGATATAAACCCAAATTCCCATCAATGATAGACTGGATAAAGAAAACATGGTACATATACACCATGGAATACTATGCAGCCATAAAAAAATGGATTATGTCTTCTACCAGGACATAGATGAAGCTGGAAACCATCATCCTCAGCAAACTAACACAAGAACAGAAAACCAAACACCACGTGTTCTCACTCATAAGAGGGAGTTGAACAATGAGAACACATGAACACAGGGAGGGAAACAACACACACTGAGACCTGTTGGGAGCAGGCTCAATGGGAGGGAGAGCATCAGGAAAAATAGCTAATGCATGTGGGGCTTAAAACTGAGATGACAGGTTGATAGGTACAGCAAACTATGATGGCACATGTATACCTATGTAACAAAACTGAACATTCTGCACATGTATCCCAGAACTTGAGGTAAAATAAATAAATAAATAAATAAATAAATAAATAGAAATAAAATTGTACTCTTAGATTACACCAGGCATACAAATCAACTCAAAATACATTAAAGACTCAAACATATGACCTGAAATTATAAAACTCTTGAAAAAAAACATAGGGGACATTTCTCAACATTGGCTTTGGCAATGATTTTGTGCATGTACAACTAAAACCACAGACAATACAAGCAAAAAATATACAAATAGGATTACATCAAACTAAGAAGCTTCTGTACAGCAAATGAGATGACAAACAAAATATAAAAACAAACCATAGAATGGGAGAAAATACTTTGAACCATTTATCTGCCAAGAGATTAATATCAAAAAAGTGTAAGAGACTCTTAAATCTTAATAGTAAGAAGAAACAGAAAAAAAACTGATTAAAGAAATAGGCCAAGGACTTGAAAACATATTTATATAAGGAAGACATATCAATGGTCAATGGGTATATAAAATGGTGCTCAGCATCACTTATTATCAGGGAAATGCAAATCAAAATCACAATAAGCTATTACTTCACACCTGTTAGGATGGCTGTATTAAAAAAAACATACAAAAGGTAAAAAGTGTAGGCAATGATGTGAAGAAAATGAACCCTTGTACATTGTTGGTAAAAAAAAGTAAATTTGTGCAGCTACTATAGAAAACAGAATAGAGCCTTTTAAAAGTTTAAAATGGAACTATAATATGATTCAGTAATCCCAAGTCTGAGTATATAGCTAAAGGAATTTAAATAAAAATCTCAAAGAAAACTTCATTCCCATGTTCATTGCAGCATAATTCACAATAGCCAAGACAGAGGAGCAAGCTAAATGTCCATTCATGAGGTGATATATAAAGAAAATAGGGTACTGCCTATACCTATAATAGAATATTATTCAGTTTTGGAAAATAAGAAACTCCTGCCATTTGTTACAACATGGATAAAATTGCAGGAAGTTAGTCTAATGTCCTTCTAAATAATACCACTTATATGATAAATCAAAAATAGTCAAACTCTTAAGAGCAAAGTGCTGGGGGCATGAGAAAATGTAGAGGTATAAGCTAAAGGTACCACAGTATTGGTTATACAAGATAAATAAGACCTAGAGACCTACTGCAGCATAGTACCTATAGTTTACAATAATATATTTTATATTTTAAAAAATTGCTAAGAGGATATATCTTATTTATTCTTATCACAAAATAGTAATAATAATAATGTAATAAAGGGGATGGGAGAAAACTTTTGGAGTTGATGGATAGGTTTATATTATAGATTATATTGATGTTTGCATGGGTTTATACTTATCTCCCATCTCATTAACTGGTATGCATTAAATCTATACAACTCTTTGTATGTCAATCTTTCCTAAATAAAGCACTTTAAAAAATTAAAATAGCAATAATTACTTTTTTATTCTTTGAAACAAATGAAAGAAAATTAGTCTTAAGTAAATCAAGGTATAATGCCATAAATATAAAAATGGAACTGTTTTCTAGAATATTGTTTTCTGGAATACAACTAGCTCCTTATTTTGAAAAAAAATGCATTCTATTCAACGTAATACTGGAAGTCCTAGATAGAGCAGTCAGGCAAGGAAAATAAATAAAAGGCATTCAAATTAGAAAAGAGAAAGTCAAATTATCTCTGTCCATTGATGACATAATAATATACTTAGACAACTCTGAAGACTCCTCCAGAAGACTCCTGGAACATATAAAATATTTTAGTAAAGTTTCAGGATACAAAATCAATGTGCTTTTCTGTACACCGATAATCTTCAAGCTGAAAACCAAATTAAGAACTCAATACTATTTACAACTGGCACACACAAAAAATCAAATTGCTAGGAATACATGTAACCAATGAGGTGAAAGATCTCTACAAGGACAACTACAAAACAATGCTGAAAGAAATTATAGATGACAGAAACTAAGGGAAGAAACATTTCATCCTCATGGATTGAAAAAAATAAATATAATAGAAATGACTTCACTGCCCAAAAAAATCTATATATTCAACACATTCTCAATCAAATTACCAATTACCATTTTTATTTTTCACAGGATTGGAAAAGTTCTTAAGTTCATATAAAACCAAAAAAAAACTTTAATAGCCAAAACAATCCCAAGCAAAAAGAACAAATATGGAGACAGGACACTGCCTGACCTCAAATTATACTACAATACTATAGTAACTAAAACAGCATAGTACTGGAAAAAAAAAACAGACACATAGATGAATGGTACAGAATGAAGAATGCCTAAATAAAGCCATACGCCTACAACCAAGTGATCCTTGACAAATTTCACACAAATAAGCAATAGGGAAAAGACAGCCTATTCAGTAAATGGTGCTGAGAAAATTAACCATATGCAGCAGAATTAAACCAGACCCCTATCTCTCACCATATTCAAAAAGTAACTCAAGATCAACTAAATGCTTAAATGTATGACCTGAAAATATAAAATTTTATGAGAATATCTAGGAAAAACACTTCTGGGCATTGATCTAGGCAAATAATTGGTGATAAAGACCCTACTAAAAGCAAATGCAACAACAAAGAAAAATAGACAAATTGAACTTAATTAAACTAAAAAGCTGCATACCAAAATAAATAGTCAACAGAGTAAAAGGACAACATACAGAATAGCAGAAAATGTATGCAAATTATGCCCATGGCTAAAGACTAATATCCAAGATCTACAAGAAACGCAAACACCTCAACAACAACAAAAAAAGAAAGCCCATTCAAAACTAGGAAAAGGACATGAACCGACTTTTTTTTTCAAAAGAAGACATACAAGCATCTGAGAAACACATGAAAAAATGCTTAACATTGCTAATCATCAGATAAATTGAAATTAAAAACACAGTGAGATATCTTACACTAGTTAGAATGACTACTGTTAAAAAGCAAAAAACAACAGAGACTGGCAAAGCTGCGGAGAAAAAAAGAATACTTATACATTGTTGGTGGGATTGTAAATTAGTTCAAAGTCCATAGAAAACAGTATGTTGATTGCTCAAAGACTAAAGACAGAATTGCCATTTAACCCAACAATCTAATTACTGGGTTTATACCCACAGGAAAATAAATTGTTCTACCAAAAAGACACCCACACTCATATGTTAATCACAGCACTATTCTCAATAGCAAATACATGGAATCAATTTAACTGTTCATCAATATTGACTGGACTAATCCGGACACTGAAAATTAAATACTGCATGTTCTCACTTATAAATGGGAGCTAAACAATGGATACACATGGACATTAAGATGAAAATAATAGTCACTAGAGACTCCAAAATGAAAGAATAATGGGAGGGGCTAAGTGTTGAAAAACAATTTATCAGGTAAAATATTCACTATTTGGGTAATGGGTACACTAGAATCCCAATCCCCACCAATACATGATATACCAATATAACAAACATGCACATATATCTACTGAATCTAGAATAAAATAAAAATTTAAAAAGTAAAACATGTAGTTTATTGTCATTGAATGTCAATTGTACTCAAACTACAGTTAGTGTTTCATTCCAGATATTGGTGATTTCTGTGTTCTTGTTTGTTAGTCTTTTTCTTTTCCCCTTTGGCCTCTCTTGACATTTGTAAATTGTATTAAATTTGGTGAGAAATCGCTTTTTGTTTCATTAATTTGCTCTGTTGATTACATTGTTTCAATTTAGTTTCTGTTATTTTCTCTATTGTTTCATTTTTCTGCTTGCTTAGAATTTATTTTGGTCTTCTTTTAATAACTTCTTAATGTGAGAGAGTGGATTTTTGATTTGAGACTTTACCTTTTGGTTGATGTAAGAATGTAATGGTACACATTTTCTTTTCAGCACTGCCTTAGCTGTGTACCACCAATTTTGATATGTTTAAGTTTAAATCAACTGAATGTATATTTTGATTTTTTTTCTTGAGACTTCATTTTTTACTCATAGATCATTTTGAAGAATGTTATTTAGTTTTTAAATACATGAAGATTTTCCTGATATCTTTCTGTTGATTTCTAGGTTGATTCCATTGTGGTCAAAGAACTCCTGTTCAACAGAGTACTGGAAGTCCTAGCCAGACCAATCAGGAAAGAGAAATAAATGAAATCACTTCACCCATCTTTAAAATATACTATAAGGCTACAGTAAACAAAACAACATGGTACTGACACAAAAAGAGATACATACACCAATGGAACAGAATAGAGAACCCCAAAATAAAGTCTCACACCTATAGCCATTTAATCTTTGACCAAGTTGACAAAGAAAAGAAAGGGCGAATGGATTACCTAATCAATTAACAGTGCTGAGATAGCTGGCTAGTCATATCTAGAAGAATGAAACTGAACCCCCTACCTTTTACCGTATACAAAAATTAACTCAAGATGGATACAAGACTTAAATATAAGACTGGAAACTGTAAGAATTCTAGCAGAAAACCTAGAAAATACTATTCTGGACATGGGCCCTAGAAAAGATTTCATAATGAAGACTCCAAAGTAATTGTGACAAAAACAAAAATTTACAAGTGGAAGCTAATTAAACTAAAGAGCTTCTGCACAGCAAGAGAAACTATCAACAGAGTAAAATGAAATCTCATGTAATGGGAGAGCATATTTGGAAATTATGCATCTGACAAAGGTCTAATATACAGACTATATAAGGAACTTAAATTTACAAGCAAAAAACAACCCCATTAAAAAGTGGACGAAAGACATGAACAGACACTTTTCAAAAGAAGACATATAAGTGGCCAATAAACATATGAAAAAATGCTCAGCATCACGAATCATTAGAGAAATGTAAACTAAAACAGCAATGAGATACCATCTCCCACCGGTCAGAATGACTATCACCAAAAACAAAAAATAGCAGATGCTTGCAAGGCTGTGAAGAAAAGGGAACACTTGTACACTCTTGTAGTGAATGAAAATCAGTTAAGCCACTGTAGAAAACAGTTTGGATATTTCTCAAAGTATTTAAAATAGAACTTCCATTTAGGCCAGTATTCTTATTGCTGGGTATATATCCAAAAAATAAATTATTCTACCAGAAAGACACATGCACTTGTACGTTCATGATATTAATAGCACTATTCAAAACAGCAAAGACATGGAATATTGAGTAAAAAAGATACATATTCACCACAGAATACTATGCAGCCATAAAAAGATGAAATCATGTCTTTTGCAGCAACATGGAGGCACCTGGAAGCCATAATCCTAAGTGAGTTCATGCAGAAACAGAACACCAAACACTACATGTCCTCTCTAATTGGAAGTTAAACATTGGGTAATTGACACAAAGATGACAACAATAGAAACTGGGGACTTGTAAAGGGAGGTAGGAGGGAGGGGGGAAGGGTTGAAAAACTACCTCTTGGGTTTTATGCTTACTACCTGGGTGATGGGATCAATCATACCCCAAACCTCAGCATCATGCAATATACCCATGTAATAAATCTGCCATGTACTACTGAATCAAAGATAAAAGTCGAAATTATAAAAAAAATCAGTTATTGTATTGCTCAGCTTCAAGATTTTTGCTTGATTCTATTTTTTTTTCTTTTTAGTGTTAAAATTAGGGTTTTTTTTTTTTTATACTTTAAGTTCTGGGTTACATGTACAGAACGTGCAGGTTGGTTACATACGTATACAAGTGCCATGGTGGTTTGCTGCACCCGTCACCCTGTCATCTATATTAACTATTTCTCCTAATGCTATCCCTTCCCTAGCCCTCCACCCCCTGACAGGCCCCAGTGTGTGATGTTCCCCTCCATGTGTCTATGCGTTCTTATTGTTCAACTCCCACTTATGAGTGAGAACATGTGGTGTTTGGTTTTCTGCTCTTGTATTAGTTTCCTGAGAATGATGGTTTCCAGCTTCATCCATGTCCCTGAAAAGGACATGAACTCATCCTTTTTTATGGCTGCATAGTATTCCATGGTGTATATGTGCCACATTTTCTTTATCCAGTCTATCATTGATGGGCATTTGGGTTGGTGCCAAGTCTTTGCTATTGTGAACAGTGCCACAATAAACATACCTGTTCATGTGTCTTTATAGTAGAATGATTTCTAATCTTTGGATATATAGCCAGTAATGGAATTGCTGGGTCAAATGGTACTTCTGGTTCTAGATCCTTGAGGAATCACCACACCGTCTTCCACAATGGTTGAACTAATTTACATTCCCACTAGCAGTGTAAAAGCATTCCTATTTCTTCACATTCTCTCCAGCATCTGCTGTTTCCTGAGTTTTTAATAATCGCCATTCTAACTGATGTGAGATGGTATCTCATTGTGGTTTTGATTTGCATTTCTCTAATGACCGGTCATGATTTATTTCATATGCTTGTTGGCTGCAAAACTGTCTTTTTTTGAGAAGTATCTGTTCATATTTTTCTCCCAGTTTTTGATGGGTTTTTGTTGTTGTTGTTGTTGTTGTTGTAAATTTGTTTAAATTCTTTGTAGATTCTGGATATTAGCCGTTTGTCAGATGGATAGATTGCAAAAATTTTCTCCCATTCTCTAGGTTACCTGTTCACTCTGATAATAGTTTCTTTTTTTCGCTGCAGAAGCTCTTTAATTTAATTAGATCCCATTTGTCAATTTTGGCTTTTGTTGCCATTGCTTTTGATGTTGTAGTCATGAAGTCTTTGCCCATGCCTATGTTCTGAATGGTATTGCCTAGGTTTACTTCTAGGGTTTTTATGGTTTTCGGTCTTACATTTAAGTCTTTAATCCATCGTGAGTTAATTTTTGTATAAGGTGTAAGGAAGGGGTTCAGTTTCCGTTTTCTGCATATGGCTAGCCAGTTTTCCCAACACCATTTATTAAATAAGGAATTCTTTCCCATTGCTTGTTTTTGCCAGATTTGTCAAAGATCAGATGGTTGTAGATGAGTGATGTTATTTCTGAGGCCCCTGTTCTGTTCCATTGGTTTATATATTTGTTTTGGTACAAGTACCCTGCTGTTTTGGTTACTGTAGCCTTGTAGTGTAGTTTGAAATCAGCTAATGTGATGCCTCCAGCTTTGTTCTTTTTGCTTAGGATTGTCTTTGCTATGTGGGCTCTTTCTTGGTTTCATATGAAATTTAAAGTAGATTTTTCTAATTCTGTGAAGTAAGTCAATGTTAGCTTGATGGGGATAGCATTGAATCTATAACTTACTTTGGGCAGTATGGCCATTTTCATGATATTGATTCTTCCTATCCATGAGCCTGGAGTGTTTTTCCATTTGTTTGTGTCTTCTCTTATTTCCTTGAGCAGTGGTTTGTAGTACTGCTTAAAGAGGTTCTTCATATCTCTTGTGAGTTGTATTCCTAGGTATTTTATTTTCTTAGTTGCAATTGTGAATGGGAATTCACTCATGATTTGGCACTCTGTCTATTATTGGTGTATGGGAATGCTTGTGATTTTTGCACATTGATTTTTTTTATCCTGAGACTTTGCTGAAGTTGCTTATCAGCTAAAGGAGATTTAGGGCTGAGACAATGGGGTTTTCTAAACACACAGTCATGTCATCTGCAAACAGAGACAATTTGACTTTCTCTCTTCCTATTTGAATACCCTTTATTTCTCTGTTGCCTGATTGTCCTGGCCAGAACTTTCAATACTATGTTGAATAGGAGTGGTGGGAGAGGGAATCCTTATCTTGTGCCAGTTTTCAAAGGAAATGCTTCCAGTTTTTGCCCATTCAGTATGATATTGGCTGTGGGTTTGTCATAAATAGCTCTTATGAATTTGAGATACATTCCATCAATACCTAGTTTATTGAGAAGGGCTGTTGAATTTCATCAAAGGCTTTTTCTGCATCTATTCAGATAATCATATGGTTTTTGTCATTGGTTCTGTTTATGTGATGGATTATGTTTATTGATTTGCATATGTTGAACCAGGCTTGCATCCCAGGGATGAAGCTTACTTGATCATGGTGGATAAGCTTTTTGATGTGCTACTGGATTTGGTTTGCCGGTATTTTGTTGAGAATCTTTGCATTGATGTTCATTGAGGATATTGGCCTGAAATTTTCTTTTGTGTGTGTGTGTGTCTTGCCAGGTTTTGTTATCAGGTTGGTACTGGCCTCATAAAATGAGTTAGAGAGGATTCCCTCTTTTTCTATTTTTTTGGAATAGTTTCAGAAGAAATGGTACCAGCTCATCTTTGTACCTCTGGTATATTTCGGCTGTGAATCCGTCTGGTCCTGGCCTTTTTTTGTTTGTTTGTTTGTAGGTTCTTAATTACCACCTCAATTTCAGGACTTCTTATTGGTCTATTCAGGGATTGGACTTCCTGGTTTAGACTTGGGAGGGTGTATGTGTCCAGGAATTCTTCCATTTCTTCTAGATTTTCTAGTTTATTTGCTTTGAGGTGTTTATAGCATTCTCTGATGTTAGTTTGTATTTCTGTGGGATCTGTGGTAATGTTCCCTTTATCATTTTTTACTGCATCTACTTGATTCTTCTCTCTTTTCTTGTTTATTATTCTGGCTAGTGCTCTATTTTGTTAATGTTTTCAAAAAAACAGCCATTCATTGATTTTTTGAAGGGCTTTTTGTGTCTTTATCTCCATCCATTCTGCTCTGATCTTAGTTATGTCTTGTCTTAATGCTAGCTTTTGAATTTGTTTGCTCTTGCTTCTCTAGTTCTTTTAATTGTGATGTTAGGGTGTCGACTTTAGATCTTTCCTGCTTTCTCTTGTGGGCATTTAGTGCTATAAATTTCCCTCTAAACACTTCTTTAGCTGTGTCCCAGAGATTCTGGTATGTTGCCTCTTTGTTCTCATTAGTTTCAAAGAACTTATTTATTTCTCCCGTCATTTCATTATTTACCCAGTAGTCATTCAGGAGGAGGTTGTACAATTTCCATGTAGTTCTGTGGTTTTGAGTGAGCATCTTTATCCTAAGTTCTAATTTGATTCCACTGTGGTCTGAGAGACTTTTTGTTATAATTTCCATTCTTTTGCATTTGCTGAGGAGTGTTTTACTTCCAATTATGTGGTTAATTTTAGAATAAGTGTGATGTTATGATGATAAAAATGTATATTTTGTTGATTTGGGGTGGAGAGTTCTGTAGATGTCTGTTAGGTCTCCTTGGTACAGAGGATTTCAAGTCCTGAATGTCCTTATTAATTTTCTGTATCCTTGATATAATATTGAATGTGGTGTGTTAAAGTCTCCCACTATTATTGTGTGGGATTCTAAGTCTCTTTGTATGTCTCTAAGAACTGGCTTTATGAATCTGGGTGTTCCTGTATTGGGTGCATATTTATTTAGGATATTTAGCTATTCTTGTTGCATTGATCCCTTTACCATTATGCAATGCCCTTCTTTGTCTCATTTTATCTCCATTGGTTTAAAGTCTGTTTTATCAGAGACTAGGATTGCAACTCCTGCTTTTTTTGCTTACCATTTGCTTGCTAAATATTCTTTCATTCCTTTATTTTGAGCATATGTGTGTCTTTGCATGTGAAATGAGTCTCCTGAATACAACACAGTGATGGGTCTTGACTCTTTATCCAATTTGCCAGTCTGTGTCTTTTAATTGGGGCATTTAGCCCATTTATATTTAAGGTTAATATTGTTATGTGTGTATTTGATTCTGTCATTATCATAATAGCTGGATATTTTGCCCTTTAGTTAATGTAGCTTCTTCATAGTGTCTATGGTCTTTACAATTTGCTATGTTTTTGTGGTTGCTAGTACCAGTTGTTCCTTTCCATGTTTAGTGCTTCCTTCAGGAGCTCTTGTAAGGGACACCTGGTGGTGACAAAATATCTCAGCATTTGCTTGTCTGTAAAGGATTTTATTGCCCTTTTGCTTATGAAGCTTAGTTTGGCTGGATATGAAATTCTGGGTTGAAAATTCTTCCTTTAAGAATGTTGAATATTGGCCTCCACCCTCTTCTGGCTTGTAGGGTTTCTGCTGAGAGATACACTGTTAGTCTGATGAGCTTCCCTTTGTGAGTAACTCGACCTTTCTCTCTGGCTGCCCTTAACATTTTTTCCTTCATTTCAACTTTGGTGAATCTGGTGATTGTGTGTCTTGGGATTGCTCTTCTGGAGGAGTACCTGTGGTGTTCTCTGTATTTCCTGAATTTGAATGTTGGCGTGTCTTGCTAGGTTGGGAAAGTTCTCTTGGATAATATCCCGAAGAGTGTTTTCCAACTTGGTTCCATTCTCCGTTGTCAGTTTCAGGTACACCAATCGAACATATGTTTGGTTTTTTCACAGTCTCATATTTCTTGGAGGCTTTGTTCATTCCTTTTCATTCCTTTTTCTCTAATCTTATCTTCATGCTTTATTTCATTAAGTTGATTTTCAATATCTGATATCTTTTCTTCTGCTATGTGGATTCGGCTATTGATACTTGTTTATGCTTCACGATGTTCTCATGGTGTGTTTTTCAGTTCCATCAGGTCATTTATGTTCTCTAAACTGGTTATTCTAGTTAGCAATTTGTCTAACCTTTTTTCAAGGTTCTTAGCTACCTTGAACTGGGTTAGAACACGCTCCTTTAGCTCCAGGAGTTTGTTATTACTCACCTTCTGAAGTCTACTTCTGTCAATTCGTCAAGCTCATTCTTAGGCCAGTTTTATTCCCTTGCTGGCGAGGAGTTGTGATACTTTGGAAGAGGAGGCATTCTGGATTTTGCATTTTTTAGCCTTTTTGCACTGGTTTCTCCCTATCTTAATGGATTTGTCTACCTTTGGTCTTATGTTGGTGACCTTCTGTTGGGGTTTTTTGTAGACATTCTTTTGTTGATGTTGATACTATTCATTTCTGTTTGCTAGTTTTTTTTCTAACTTTCAGGCCCTTCTGCTGCAGGTTTGCTGCAGTTTGTTGGAGGTCCACTCCAGACCCTGTCTGCCTGTGTATCACCAGCAGAGGCTGCAGAACAGCAAAGATTTCTGCCTGTTCCTTCTTCTGGAAGCTTCGTCTCAGAGGGGAACTCACCAGATTCCATCCAGAGCTCTCCTGAGATGACTGTCGACCCCTGCTGGGAAGTGTCTCCCAATCAGGAGGCAAGGGGGTCAGGGACCCACTTGAGGAGGTACTCTGTCCCTTAGCAGAGCTCAAGTGCTGTGCTGGGAGATCTGCTGCTCTCTTCAGAGCTGGCAGGCAGGAATGTTTAAGTTGCTGAAGCTGTGCCCACAGCCACCACTTTCCCTAGGTGCTCTGTCCCAGGGAGATGGGAGTTTTATCTATAAGCCCCTGACTGGGGCTGCTGCCTTTCTTTCAGAGATGCCCTGTCCAGAGAGGAGAAATCTAGAGAGGTAGTTTGGCTGCAGCAGCTTTGCCAAGCTGTGGTGGGCCCCGCTGAGTTTGAACTTCCCTTTGTTTCTTTTTTTGTGTCTTTGTTTCTTTGTTTGTTTGTGTTTTTGTTTATGCTGTGAGGGGAAAACTGCCAACTCAAGCCTCAGTAATGATGGGCGCCCCTCCACCCACGAAGTTGGAATGTCCCAGGTCAACTTCAGACTGCTGCACTGGCAGCGAGAATTTCAAGCAAGTGGATCTTAGCTTGCTTGGCTCTGTGGGGGTGGGATCCACTGAGCTGGACCACTTGGCTCCCTGGCTTCAGCCCCCTTTCCAGGGGAGTGAACGGTTCTGTCTTGCTTGCATTCCAGGTGCCACTGGGGTTTGAAAAGAAACTCCTGCAGCTAGCTCGGTGTCTCCTCAGTTTTGTGCTGGAAGTCCAGGGCCTGGTAGCGTAATCACCAGAGGGAATCTCCTGGTCTGCGGGTTGCAAAGACCATGGAAAAAGCATAGTATCTGGGCTGGAATGCACCTTTCCTCACAGCACAGTCTCTCACAGCATCCCTTGGCTAAGGGAGGGAGTTCTCTGAACCTTTGTGCTTCCCAGGTGAGGTGATGCCCCATCCTGCTTCTGCTTGCCCTCCATGGGCTGCACCCACTGTCTAACCAGTCCCAATGAGATAAGCCATGTGCCTCAGTTGGAAATGCAGAAATCACCTGCCTTCTGCATTGATCTCACTGGAACTGCAGACTGGAGCTGTTCCTATTTGGCCATTTGCCAGCTGCCTGCTTGATTCTTTCATATGTTTTTTATCTTTCTTGTGCTTTTCATTTTATTCCTGTATTGCTTTTTATTAAAAAAAAGTTTTTTAACTTTTATTTTTAGTTCAGGTGTACAAGTGCAGGTTAGTTACATAGGTAAACTCGTGTCATGGAGATTTGTTATATAGATTATTTCATCATCCATGTGTTAAGCCATTAGTAGTTTTCCTTGATACTCTCCTTAGTAGCTTTCCTTGATACTCTCCCTCTTCCCACGCTCCAACCTACAAAAGTCCCTTGTGTGTTTTCTTCTCCCCATGTGTCTATGTGTTATCATTAACTCTCACTTATAAATGAGAACATGTGGTATTTGGTTTCCTGTTGCTGTATTAGTTTGCTAAGAATGATGGGCCACAGCTTCATTTATGTCTTTGCAGAGGACATAATCTCATTCTCTTTTATGGCTGCATAGAATTCCATGGAGTATGTTTACCACATTTTCTTTATTCACTGTATCATTGATGGACATTTAGGTTGACTTTGTCTTTGCTATTGTGAATAGTGCTGCAATGAACATACATAAGCATGTCTCTTTGTAATAGAATTATTTATATTCCTTTGTTTATATACTCAGTAATTGAACTGTTGAGTCAAACGGAATTTCTGTCTTTAGGTCTTTGAGGAACCATCACACTCTTTTCCACAATGGTTGAATTAATTTACACTCCCATCAACAGTGTATAAGCATTCCTTTTTATTCACAATCTCACCAGCATCTGTTATTTTTTGACCTTTCAATAGTAGCCATTCTGACTGGTATTAGATGATATCTCATTGTCATTCTGATTTGTATTTCTCTAATAATCAGTGATGTTGAGGATTTTTTTCTTATGATTGTTGGCCACATATATTACTTCTTTTGAAAAGTGTCTGTTCATGTCCTTCCTTCACTTTTTATAGGATTGTTTGTTTTTTTTCTTGTAAATTTGTTTAAGTTCCTTATAGATGGTGAATATTAGACCTTTGTCAGATGCATAGTCTGCAAACATTTTTCTCCCATTCTGTAGGTTGTCACTTCACTCTGATGATAGTTTACTAAACCGTGCATAAGTTCTTTAGTTTAATTAGATCCTGTTTGTTAATTTTTGCTTTTGTTGCAATTGCCCTTTGTGTCTTTGTCATAAAATATTTGCCCGTGCCTATGTCCTGAATACTTTGCCTACATTGTCTTCCAGGGTTTTTATAGTTTTGGGCTTTACATTTAAGTATTTAATCAATCTTGAGTTAATTTTCTTATAAGGTGTAAGGAAGGGGTTCAGTTTCTATCTTCTGCATATGGCTAGCCAATTATCTCAGCACCATTTGTTGTTGAATAGAGAATCCTTTCCCCATTGCTTGATTTTCTCAGCTTTGTTGAATATTGGATGGTTGTAGGTGTACAGTCTTATTTCTGGGATTTCTATTCTTATCCTTTGGTCCATGTGTCTGTTTTTGTTACAGTACCATGCTGTTTGGGTTACCATAGCCCTGTAGTATAGTTTGAAGTTTGGTAGTATGATGCCTCCAACTTTACTCTTTTTGCTTAGGATTGCCTTGGCTACTCAGGTTCTTTTTTGTTTTCATATGAATTTTAAAATATTTTTTTTCCTAGCTCTATAAAGAATGTTAATTTTAGTTTAATGGGCATAGCATTGAATTTGTAAATTTCTTTGGGAAGTATGGCCATTTTAACAGTATTGATTTTTTTCTGTTCATGAGTTTGGAATGTTTACCCATTTGTTTGTGTCATCTTTGATTTTTTTTTTTTTGAACAGTGGTTTGTAATTCTCCTTATAGAGATCTTTTACCTCCACAGTTACTTGTATTTCTAGATATTTTATTCTTTTTGTGGCAGTTGTGAATGGGAGTTTGTTCCTGATTTGGCTATCAGCTTGACTCTGTTGGTGTATAGGAATGCTAGTAATTTTTGCACATTGATTTTGTATCCTGAGACTTTGCTAAAGTTGTTTTTCAGCTTATGAAGCTTTTTGGCTGAGACTGTGGAGTTTTCTATATAGAGAATTATGTTATCTGCAGATAGGGATAGCTTGACTTTCTCTCTTCCTATTTGAATGTCTTTATTCTCCTTGTCTTGCCTGATTGTCCTGGCCAGAACTTCCAAAAATATGTCATATAGGAGTGTTGACAGATGGCATCTTTGTCTTGTGGTTCTTTTCAAGGGGAATGTTTCCAGATTTTGTCCATTCAGTATGATGTTGGCTGTGGGTGTGTCATAGACAGCTCTTATTATTCTGAGGTATGTTCCTTCAGTACCTAGTTTATTGAGAGTTTTTAACAGGAATGTATGTTGAGTTTTATCAAAAGTCTTTTCTGCGTCTATTGAGATAATCCAGCAACACTTTATGAATAAAACTCTCAGCAAAATTAGCAAAGAATTGACACACCTTAATGTAATAAAAGCCAACTATGACAAACCCACAGCCAACATAATACTGAGTGGAAAAAAGTTGGAAGCATTTCCTCTGAGAACTTGAACAAGACAAGGATGCCTACCCTCACCATTCCTCTTCAACATAATACTGAATGTCCTAGCCAAAGCAATCAGACAGGAGAAAGAAATAAAGGGCACCAAAGTCAATACAGAGTAAATCAAACTGTAACTCTTTTCCGATGACATAATTGTTTACCTTGAAACCCCTAAAGACACCTCCAGAAAGCTACTAGAACTGATAAAAGAATTCAGCAAAGTTTCTGGATACAAGATTAATGTACAGAAATCAGTAGCTCTTCTATATACCAAGAGCGAACAAGCAGAAAATCAGATCAAGAACTCAACCCCTTTTACAATAGCTGCAGAAAAAAAAAATACTTAGGAATATAACTAACCAAGGAGGCAAAATACCCCTACAAGGAAACCTATAAAACTCTGCTGAAAGGAATCATAAACAACACAAAAAATTGTAAACACATCCCATGCTCATGAATGGGTGGAATCAATATTGTAAAAATGACCATACTGCCAAAAGAAATCTACAAATTCAATGTGATCTCCATTAACATACAACGATCATTCTTTCAGAATTAGAAAAAAACAATTCTAAAATCCATATGGAACCAAGAAAGAACCTGCATAGTCAAAGCAAGACGAAGCAAAAAGAACAAATCTGCAGGCATCACACAACCTGATTTCAAACTTTACTATAAGGCCATAGTCACCAAAACAGCATCATACTGGTATAAAAATAGGCACATAGACAAATTGAACTACATAGAGAACCAAAAAATAAAACCAAATACTTACAGCCAACTGATCTTTGACAAAGCAAACAAAAATATGCAGCCACATGCAGAAGAATGAAACTGGATCCTCATCTTTTACCTTATACAAAAAGCAACTCAAGATGAATTAAGGACTTAAATCTAAGACTTGAAACTATAAAAATTCTAGAAGTTAACATTGTAAAACTCCTTTTAGACATTGGCTTTGGCAAGGATTTCACGACCAAGTACCCAAAAGCAAATGTAATAAAAAGCAAATATAAATAACTAGGACTTAATTAAATTAAAGAGCTTTTGCATGGCAAAAGGAACAGTTGGCAGAGTCAACAGACAACCTACAGAGCAGGAGATAATCTTCACAATCTATACATATGACAAAGGACTAATATCCACAATCTACAAAGAACTCAAACAAATCAGCAAGAAAAAAACAAAAAATTCTATCCGAAAGTGGGCTAAAGACATGAATAGACAATTCTCAAAAGAAGACATGCAAATGTCCAACAAACATGAAAAAATGCCCAGCATCACTAATGATCGGGGAAATGCAAATCAAAACCACAACATGATACCACGTTACTCCTGCAAGAATGGCCATAATCAAAAAATCAAAAACAGTAGATGTTGGCATGGATGTGGTAGTCAGGGAACGCTGCTATATTGCTGGTGGGAATGTAAACTAGTACAACCACTATGAAAAACAGTGTGGAGATTTCATAAAGAACTAAAAGTAGGACTACCATTTGATCCAGCAATCCCACTACTGGACATCTACCCAGAGGGAAAGAAGTCATTATACAAAAAAGATACTTGCACATGCATGTTTATAGCAGCAAAATTTTCAATTGCAAAATCGTGTAATCAACACAAATCCCTATCAATCAACGAGTAGATAAAATAACAGTTTTTTTAATCCATGAGTGGATTAAAAAACTCATTGATTGATGGGCATTTGTGTTGGTTACGTATATATATGATGGAATACTACTCAGTCATACAAAGGAATGAACTAATAACATTTGCAGCAATCTGGATGAGATTGGAGATTATTACTCTAAGTGAGGTAACTCAGGAATGGAAAACCAAACATTGTATGTTCTCACTGCTTTGTGGGAGCTAAGCTATATGGATGCCAAGGCATAAGAATGATGCAATGGACTGTAGGGACTTTGGGGGAAAGGTAGGAGAGAGGTGAGAGATAAAAGACTACAAATAAAGTACAGTATGTACTGCTCGGCTGATGGGTGCACCAAAATCTCACAAATCACCTAAAGAACTTATGTAATCAAACACCACCTGTACCCAAATAACCTACGGAAAAATTTTAAAAAATGAAAATACAATCAATTACAAGAAAAAAATTAAAAATAAAAATAAAAGAAAAAAACAGAGTTAAAAATTGCTGGGAGTTACCATTATAACATGTGATTGATACTACTGAAAATAGATTTACATGTAAGGTGTGTAAGAACAGTAAAATGTGTTTTTTATTAAAATGTTATAAGAAGGCACAAAAGTGTGAATTTTTGCCTATAGTTAAAGGATTGTTTTAAACTAGATAAAATAAAGCTGAGTATTCAAACAAGTGATGGAAAGATTGTGGAAATTAATCTTGCAAAATAGGTTCTCTTTGTGAACATATTGACTAAATTCAAAAGGGTAACATACGGTTTTTCTGCAAATTAAGCATTGAAATAAAAGAACAACAAGGCTTTCTTAAGGTGCTAATCTGCTTTTTGACAAAATTTGTAAAAGGTTATAAAATATTTCTGCTTCTTTAAATTTCTGAGTCATCATTTTGGCAAAATAAATAACTTATGGTAATATGGAATTCTATTTCATAATATCAAGTGCTTTAAATATATTTAACAAGCTTTCCAAAATCAAACTTCAGTTGCAAAATTGTCTTTTCTAACCTCTGGCTTTTTGGATACTTCAGAGGGCCCCTGAAACATTCAGAAAAGAGAGGTAGACAGGATTATTTGACATACTTAGGTACATGAAATTGCCAAAACAACGTTCGAACTTCTTTAGGTTATATTTTGGTGAATGCTAATATACGTTCCAAAATTGTATGGGATTTCCAAAATTCTAATGTCTAAGTATAAGCTACAAGTTATAATTAAGGTTGTTATGCTAAGTTATTGTAAACCACAGACATAACCAACTTTCTTTGTCAATTGTATTTTTAACTGTATCTACCCTGGACATTTTGCTATTCACATATAATGGTTGTTTTGTTTTATTTCTTTTTAAAAGATGTTTTATAATAAGCTACAAAACTTTAACAGGTGCTCTCAAGTACAGGTTTCTGATAACTTTGGGAATTGTAACATCGAAATAAAGAAAAAATGTACAGGACTCATAACGAGCTAAAGTGTTCACAAATATCAAGCAAAACAAGAGCTAACTAAATGGACTGAATTCAGGAAACTGAAGCAGTGTTTTTGACTTTTGCTTGGAATATTGCTGATCCTTGTTTTGTTTTTCAGAGTAAAGGAAACTTATTTTAAACTATTTACAGTTTTAAATGATTGAGTACTCCTGTGATCAAGATTTGGAGCATGTTTGTTTCTCTCTGCCTGGTTCCTCCAGGATTTGGAAACTATCTGTGAGTATTATTAACTCATGGCAATATAGTTGTTTGCATCAGTGTAATAAGAAGACATTTTTCTTTTGCAACAGGACACAACTGGAAGAAACTGGTTATTTTACCAAGGCTTTAACTGGAGTGTATGCTTCCCTTTAAGGAGTCAATCTCAACTTGCAAAGCCAATAAAAGCGCTGTGGGGAATCTGGCCTCGTACCCTTGTTTATGTGGTCCTTGCACAGGGTTTCTGACCTGTGGTCAGTAAGGAATGTCACTTTCTTACAGTACCAGGAGCTCCAAGTTTATCTTGAGACCTTAAGAAAAAAGGATCACCCAACTCGGAAGTATTTAAGGTTACAAACCCATGGCTGGGCTCAGCTTTAAAAGGTCTTATCTGAGATTCCTTGTGAAACAGGCTTCCATCAAAGCCAATCCAAAAGGCCTATGTAGAAGTAATTATTCTTGCTGCACTTTATGCAAATAATAAGGCCAAGTATAAGATTATAAAGTCTATTTTGCAAACAATTCAGTCCTATCATGATTTGTTTTATTTAACAAAAATGAGGACTGTTAAGAGAAAAATCATGTTTTAAAACATATTTGTCATTAAATTCTAAACTCACGAGTTTTATTTAAGTTTTTGCCTACATTTTTAGATTAACCCTGCTTGTTCCTGTGAACCAACCAGCTCAGAAAGGACAAAAGGTATGGGTATTGTATGAATCTGGATGGATATTCTAGTTCTAAGTAATTATTCTGCAAATACTAATTGAAAACACAACATACCAAACCTATGAGATACAACAAAAGGAGTACTACAATGAAAGTTTACAGCTACATCACCTGCATTAAAAACCAGAAAAATTTTAAATTAAAAATGTAATGATGCATCTTAAAGAACTACAAAAACCCAAAAGTAGTAGAAGGAAATAAATAATAAAAATTAGAACAGAAATAAATAAATTTGAAATAAAGAGAACAATAAAAAAGATTAATAAAACAAAAATATGTTTTTTAAAGTTAAACAAAATTGACAAATATTTACCCAGACTAAGAAAAAAATAATATTCAAATACATAAAATCAGAAATGGAAAAAGAAGGCATTACAACTTATACTGCAAAAAATTTAAAGATTATTAGTGGCTACACCATGAATGACAAAATTCAACACCCTTTAATAAAAGAATGCTCAATGGTGTTGGGAAAATTGGCTAGCTACATGTAGAAAGCTGAAACTGGATCCCTTCCTTACACCTTATACAAAAATTAATTCAAGATGGATTAAAGACTTGCATGTCAAGCCTAAAACCATAAAAACCCTAGAAGAAAACCTAGGCAATACCATTCAGGACATAGGCATGGGCAAGGACTTCATGTCTAAAACACCAAAAGCAATGGCAACAAAAGTCAAAATTGACAAATGGGATCTAATTCAACTAAAGAGCTTCTGCACAGCAAAAGAAACTACCATCAGAGTGAAGAGGCAACCTACAGAATGGGAGAAAATTTTCACAACCTACTCATCTGACAAAGGGCTAATATCCAGAATCGACAATGAACTCAAACAAATTTACAAGAAAAAAAACAAACAACCACATCAAAAAGTGGTTGAAGGATATGAACAGACACTTCTCAAAAGAAGACATTTATGCAGCCAAAAAACACATGAAAAAATGCTCATCGTCACTGGCCATCAGAGAAATGCAAATCAAAACCACAATGAGATACCATCTCACACCAGTTAGAATGGCAATCATTAAAAAGTCAGGAAACAACAGTTGCTGGAGAGGATGTGGAGAAATAGGAACACTTTTACACTGTTGGTGGGAGTGAAAGCTAGCTCAACCATTGTGGGAATAGGTGTGGTGATTCCTCAGGGATCTAGAACTAGAAATACCATTTGACCCAGTCATCCCATTACTGGGTATATACCCAAAGGGCTATAAATCATGCTGCTATAAAGACACATGCACACATATGTTTATTGCGGCACTATTCACAATAGCAAAGACTTAGAACCAACCCAAATGTCCAACAATGATAGACTGGATTAAGAAAATGTGGCACATATACACCATGGAATACTATGCAGCCATAGAAAATGATGAGTTTGTGTCCTTTGCAGGGACATGGATGAAGCTGGAAACTATCATTCTCAGCAAACTATCGCAAGGACAAAAAACCAAACACTGCATATTCTCACTCATAGGTGGGAACTGAACAATGAGAACACATGGACACAGGAAAGGGAACATGACACACTAGGGCCTGTTGTGGTCTGGGGTGAGGGGGGAGGGATAGCATTAGGAGATATACCTAACGCTAAATGACGAGTTAATGGGTGCAGCACACCAACATGGCACTTGTATACATATGTAACAAACCTGCGCATTGTGCACATGTACCCTAAAACTTAAAGTATAATAGTAAATAAATAAATAAATAAATAAATAAATAAATAATAAAAAGAATGCTAAAAAAACTGAGTATAGAAGAAACATATCTCAAAATAATAAATGCCATATCCGACGGACCCACAGCATCATACTGAATGGGAAATAACTGAAATCCTTTCTCCCAAGATCTGGAACATGATAAGAATTTCGACTTTCTCTACTGCTATTCAACATGGTACTGGAAGTCCCAGCTAGGGCAATTAGAAAAGAGAAGGAAATAAAGGGCATCTAAATTTGAATGGAAGATGTAAAATTTTCTTTGTTTTCAGATAATATGACCTTGTATTTTGAAAAATATTGTAATACTCCCTTGGTGCACTGCTATAAAGAAACATCTAAAACTGGGTAATTCATAAAGAAAAGAGTTTTAATGGGCTCACAGTTCTGCAGGCTGTACAGGAAGCATGATGTTGACACATGCTCAGTTTTTGGGGAGGCCTCAGGAAACTTTCAATTATGGCAGAAGTCAAAGAGGAATCAGCACTTTACATAGCCAGAGAAGAAGCACAAAAGAAAGCAGGAGGAGGAGCTACAAACTTTTAAACAATCAAATCTCATGAGAACTTACTCACTATCCTAACAACAGTACCAAGAGGAAAGATGCTAAACCATACAGGAGGAACTGCCTCTATGATCAAATCACCTCCCACTAGGTTCCATTGCCAACATTGGGGATTATAATTTGGGGAGGGACACAGATCTAAAGCATATCAAACCTGAAGACTCCACAGAGAAACTATTAGATAAACGAATTTAATAAAGATGCAGGATACAAAATGAACATACAAAAATCACTAGCATCTCTATATGCCCACAGTGAGAAATCTGAAAAAATAAAACAAAAAAGTAATTCCATTTATAATAGCCACAGATAAAATTAAATACCTAGGAATTAACTGAAAAAGTGAAATATCTCTATAATAAAATACATAAAGCACTAATGAAAGACATTGAGAGAATAAAAAATGGAAAAACCATTTTATGTTTATGTCTTGGAAGAAACAATATTATTAAAATGCCCATACTACACAAAGCAATCTACAGACTAAAATCAATCCCTGTAAATATGCAAATGACATTCTTCACAGAAATAGAAAAAAATAATTTTAAAATGTATATGGAACCACAACAGACACAGAAGAGTCAAAGCTATTCTAAGTAAAATGAACAAGACTGGAGAAATTACCTTATTTTCCTTCATTATATTACAGAGTTATAGTAACCAGAACATCATGGTACTGGCATAAAAAAAGATACATAGACCAATAGAACACAACAAAGAACTCAGAAACAATTCCACACACTTTCAGTGAATTTATTTTTGACAAAACGTTTCCAAAAACATATGCTATGGAAATACAGGCTCTTCAATGAATATTGCTGGGAAAATTGGATATCCATATGCAGAATAGTGAAATTAGACCTCTATCTTATGCTGTATATAAAAATTAAATTAAATTGAATGAAAGATTTAAATCTAAGAAACCAAACTATGAAACTACTAAAAAAAGTTTGGATAAATTTTACAGGTCATTGGTCTCAGTACAACTTTCTGGAGCAGGATACAATTTTCTGGAGCATTACCGCAGGAGCACAGGCAACCAAAGCAAAAATGGACAAATGGGATCAAATCAAGTTAAAAACGTACTGCAAAGCAAAGGAAGCAATCAACAAAGTGAAAAGACAACTCAGAGAATGAGAGAAGATATTGGCAAAGTACCTATCTGAGAAGGGACTAAGAATGAGAATATATAAGCTCAAACAACTATGTAGAAATAAATCTAATAATCTGATCCAAACTTGGGCAAAAGACTTGAACAGACATTTCTCAAAAGGAGGCATGCAAATGACAAACAGTCATATAAAAATGTCTTCAAGACAATTGAATATTAGAGAAATGCAAATCAAATCTACAGTGTGATATCATCTCACCCCAGTTAAAATGGCTTATATCAAAATGAGACACGATGATAAATGCTGGTGAGAATGTGGAGAAAACAGAACACTTGTACACTGTTGCTGAGAATGTAAATTAGCACAACCCGTATAAAAAATAGTTTGGAGCTTTCTCACAAAAACAAAAATTGAACTACCATATGATGCAGCAAAGCATCTGCTAGGTACATACCCATAAGAAAGAAAATCAGTATACCAAAGACGTGTCTTCATTTCCATGTTTTTTCTAGCACTGTTCACAGTAGCCAAGATTCGGATGCAACCTAAATGTCTATCAACAATGAATGGATAAAAAAATGCAGTACATATACACAATTGGGTACTATTCAGCCACAAAAATAAATGAGATCCTGTCATTTGCAACAACAGGGATAAAACCGGAGATCATTACGTTAAGTAAAACAGGCCAGGCACAGAAAGACAAACATTGCATGCTATCACTTATCTGTGGAATCTAAAAATCAAAACAAACTCATGGACATAGAGAGTAGAAGGATGGTTACCCATGGCTTGGAAAAGTAGTGGGAGGATGAGAGGTAGGTGGGGATTTTTAATGGGTACAAAAAGTCCTTAGAAAGAATGAATAAGACCTATTATTTGATCGCACAACAGGGTGACTATACTCAATAATAAATTAATTGGGCCAGGCGCAATGTCCCACATCTGTAATCCCAGCATTTTGAGAGGCTGAGGCTGGTGGATCACCTAAGGTCAGGAGTTCCAGACCAGCCTGGCTAACATGGTGAAACCCCATCTTTACTAAAAATACAAAAATTAACTGGGCATGGTGGTGGCGCCTGTAATCACAGCTTCTAGAGAGTCTAAGGCAGGAGAATTGGTTGAACCAAGGAGGCAGAGATAGCACTGAGCCAAGATCATGCTACTGCACTCCAGCCTGGACAACAAAGCAAGAGTCAGTTTCAAAATAATAATGATAATAATAAATTAATTGTATAATTTTCAATAACTGAAAAAGTGTAATTGTATTGTTTGCAACACAAGGAATAAATGCTTGATATGACTGATACCTTATTCTCCATAATGTGATTATTTAACATTGCGTGTCTGTATCAAAATATAACATGTATCCCATAAATATATATATACCTACAACCTACCCCAAAATATTAAAAATCAAAACATTCAAAAAGAAGCAAAAAGTAGGAAAACAGAGCTGGAGTCATCACATTGCTCAATTTCCATCTATAATAAAAGTGTACAGTAACCAAAACAGCATGGTACAGACACAAAAGCAGACACACAGACCAACTGAACATGAGAGAGAGTCCAGAAATAATGCTGCACACCTACACCTATCTGATCTTTAAAAAAATCATCAAAAACGGGAAATAGGGAAAGGACTTCCTATTCAATAAACGGTGCTGGAATAACTGGCTAATAAAATGCAGAAGATTGAAACTTGTCGTGTCCCTTACACTATTTAAAAAACCCTCAAGATCAATTTAAGACTTAAATATAAAACCTAAAACTATAAACACCATGGAAAATAACCTAAAAAGTTTCATTCTGGATGTATAAACAGGCAAAGATTTTACAAAAAAAGATGCCAAAAGCCATTGCAACAAAAACAAAAATTGACAAACGGGACCTAATTAAATTAAAGATCTTCTGCACAGTAAAAGAAGCTATCAACGGAATAAATAGAAAACCTACACAATGGGGGAAGACATTCACAAACTATGCATCCAACAAAGGTCTAATACCCAGAATATGTAAGGAACTTAAATTTACAAGCAGAAAACAAACAACTGAGTTAAAAAGTGGGCAAATAACATGAGCAGATACTTTTCAAGAGAAGACTTACATACAGCCAATAAGTATATGAAACAATGCTCAACACCACTAATTCTTAGAGAAATGAAAATCAAAACCAGAATGAGACATCATCTGACCCCAACCAAAAAGTGTATTATTAAAAAGTGAAAAAATAATAGATGTTGGTGAGGATGCAGAGAAAAGGGAATGCTTATATATTTCTGGTGGGAATGCAAGTTAGTTCAGCCACTGTGGAAAGCAGTTTGGTGATTTCTCAAAGAAGGTAACATGGGTGCTGCTGTAGGCCATTATCCTAAGCAAACTAACATAGGAACAGAAAATCAAATACCACAGGTTCTCACTTATAAGTGGGCGCTAAACATCAAGTACATGTGGACACAAAGAATGGAACAGCAGAGGCAGGGATTTACTTGAGAGCGGAGTGTCAGAGGAGGGTGAAAATTGAAAGACTATGGGGTACTAGGCTTATTACCTGGGTGACTAATCTGTACACCCAACCCCCATGACACAGAATTTACCTATATAACACACCTGCACGTGTGCCCTTGAACATAAAATAAGAGATAAAAAGCATTTTTATAAAGAAGTTTTGAGATATTTTAGCAAATCAGAATTGAAGTGTTGTCAAATGCAAAGGAGGCTAATATTGCCTCAACTTCCTCTTTTTATTTTTTTATTATACTTTAAGTTCTAGGGTACATGTGCACAACATGCAGGTTTGTTTCATATGTATACACGTGCCATGTAGGTGTGCTGCACCCATCAACTCATCATTTACATTAGGTATATCTCCTAATGCTTTCCCTCCCACCTCCTACCACCCCACAACAGGCCCCAGTGGGTAATGTTCCCCTTCCTACGTCCAAGTGTTCCCATTGTTCCATTCCCACCAATGAGTGAGAACATGCAGTGTTTGGATTTTGTTCTTGTGATAGTTTGCTGAGAAGGATGGTTTCCAGCTTCATCCATGTCCTTACAAAGAACATGAACTCATCATTTTTTATGGCTGCATAGTATTCCATGGTGTATATGTGCCACATTTTCTTAATCCAGTCTATCATTGTTGGACATTTGGGTTGGTTCCAAGTCTTTGCTATTGTGAATAGTGCCACAATAAACATATGTGTGCATGTGCCTTAATTGCAGCATGATTTATAATCCTTTGGGTATATACCCAGTAATGGGACGGCTGGGTCAAATGGTATTTCTAGTTCTAGATCCTTGAGGAATCCCCACACTGTCTTCCACAATGGTTGAACTAGTTTATAGTCCCACCAACAGCGTAAAAGTGTTCCTATTTCTCCACATCCTCTCCAGCACCTGTTGTTTCCTGACTTTTTAATGATCGCCATTCTAACTGGTGTGAGATGGTATCTCATTGTGGTTTTGATTTGCATTTCTCTTATGGCCAGTGATGATGAGCATTTTTCATGTGTCTGTTGGACACATAAATGTCTTCTTTTGAGAAGTGTCTGTTCTTATCCTTCACCCACTTTTTGATGGGGTTGTTTGTTTTTTTCTTGTAAATTTGTTTGAGTTCTTTGTAGATTCTGGATATTAGCCCTTTGTCAGATGAGTAGATTGCAAAAATTTTCTCCCATTCTGTAGGTTGCCTCTTCACTCTGATGGTAGTTTCTTTTGCTGTGCAGAAGCTCTTTAGTTGAATTAGATCCCATTTGTCAATTTTGGCTTTTGTCGCCATTGCTTTTGGTGTTTTAGACATGAAGTCCTTGCCCATGCCTATGTCCTGAATGGTATTGCCTAGGTTTTCTTCTAGGGTTTTTATGGTTTTAGGCTTGACATGTAAGTCTTTAATCCATCTTGAATTAATTTTCGTATAAGGTGTAAGGAAGGGATCCAGTTTCAGCTTTCTACAGCTGGCTAGCCAGTTTTCTCAGCACCTTTTATTAAATAGGCAATCCTTTCCCCATTTCTTGTTTTTGTCAGGTTTGACAAAGATCAGATGGTTGTAGATGTGTGGTATTATTTCTGAGAGCTCTGTTCTGTTCCATTGGTCCATATCTCTGTTTTGGTACCAGTACCGTGCTGTTTTGGTTACTGTAGCTTTGTAGTAGAGTTTGAAGTCAGGTAGCATGATGCCTCCAGGTTTGTTCTTTTGACTTAGGGTTGTCTTGGCAATGTGGGCTCTTTTTTGGTTCCATATGAACTTTAAAGTAGTTTTTTTCCAATTATGTGAAGAAAGTCATTGGTAGCTTGATGGGGATGGCATTGAATCTATAAATTACCTTGGGAAGTATGGCCATTTTCACAATATTGATTCTTCCTATCCATGAGTATGGAATGTTCTTCCATTTGTTTTTGTCCTCTCTTATTTCATTGACCAGTTGTTTGTAGTTCTCCTTGAAGAGGCCCTTCACATCCTTTGTAAGTTGGATTCCTAGGTATTTTACTCTCTTTGAAGCAACTGTGAATGGGAGTTCACTCATGATTTGGCTCTCTGTTTGTCTGTTATTGATGTATAAGAATGCTTGTGATTTTTGCACATTGATTTTGTATCCTGAGACATTGCTGAAGTTGCTTATCAGCTTAAGGAGATTTTGGGCTGAGAAGATGGGGTTTTCTAAATATACAATCATGTCATCTGCAAACAGGGATAATTTGACTTCCTCTTTTCCTAATTGAATACCCCTTATTTCTTTCTCCTGCCTGATTGCCCTGACCAGAACTTCTAACACTATGTTGAATAGGAGTGGTGAGAGACGGCATCACTGTCTTGTGCCAGTTTTCAAAAGGAATGCTTCCAGTTTTTGCCCATTTGGTATGATATTGGCTGTGGGTTTGTCATAAATAGCTCTTATTATTTTGAGATACGTCCCATCAATACCTAATTTATTGAGAGTTTTTAGCATGAAGGACTGTTGAATTTTGTCAAAGGCCTTTTCTGTATCTATTGAGATAATCATGTGGTTTTTGTCTTTGGTCCGTTTATATGCTAGATTACGTTGATTGATTTGTGTATGTTGAACCAGTCTTGCATCCCAGGGATGAAGCCCACTTGATCATGGTGGATAAGCTGTTTGATGTGCTGCTGGATTCGGTTTGCCAGTATCTTATTGAGGATTTTTGCATCAATGTTCATGAGGGATATTGGTCTAAAATTCTCTTTTTTTTTTGTTGTGTCTCTTCCAGGCTTTGGTATCAGGATGATGCCAGCCTCATAAAATGATTTAGGGGGGATTCCCTCTTTTCCTTTTGATTGGAATAGTTTCCGAAGTAATTGTACCAGCTCCTCCTTGTACGTCTGGTAGAATTCGGCTGTGAATCTGTCTGGTCCTGGACTTTTTTTGGTTGGTAGGCTATTAGTTATTGTCTCAATTTCAGAGCCTGTTATTGGTCTATTCAGGGATTCAACTTCTTCCTGGTTTAGTCTTGGGAGAGTGTATGTGTTGAGGAATTTATCCATTTCTTCTAGATTTTCTAGTTTATTTGTGTAGAGGTGTTTATAGTATTCTCTGATGGTAGTTTGTATTTCTGTGGGATCAGTGGTGATATTCCCTTTATCATTTTTTATTGCATCTATTTGATTCTTCTCTCTTTTCTTCTTTATTAGTCTTGCTAGTGGTCAATCAATTTTGTTGATCTTTTCAAAAAACCAGCTCCTGGATTCATTGATTTTTTTGAAGGGTTTTTTTTGTCTCTATCTCCTTCAGTTCTGCTCTGATCTTTGTTATTTCTTGCCTTCTGCTAGCTTTTGAATGTGTTTGCTCTTGCTTCTCTAGTTCTTTTAATTGTGATGTTAGGGTGTCAATTTTAGATCTTTCCTGCTTTCTCTTGTGGCCATTTACTGCTATAAATTTCACTCTACACACTGCTTTGAATGTGTCCCAGAGATTCTGGTATGCTGTGTCTTTGTTCTCATTGGTTTCAAAAAACATCTTTAATTCTGTCTTCATTTAGTTATGTACTCAGTAGTCTTTCAGGAGCAGATTGTTCAGTTTCCATGTAGTTGAGCGGTTTTGAGTGAATTTCTTAATCCTGAGTTCTAGTTTGATAACACTGTGGTCTGAGAGACAGTTTGTTATAATTTCTGTTTTTTACATTTGCTGAGGAGTGCTTTACTTCCAACTATGTAGTCAATTTTGGAATAAGTGTGATATGGCATTGAGAAGAATGTATATTCTGTTGATTTGGGGTGGAGAGTTCTATAGATGTCTATTAGGTCCGCTTGGTGCAGAGCTGAGTTCAATTCCTGGATATCCTTGTTAACTTTCTGTCTCGTGGATCTGTCTAACATTGACAGTGGGGTGTTAAAGTCTCCCATTACTATTGTGTGGGAGTCTAAGTCTCTTTGTAGATCTCTAAGGACTTGCTTTATGTATCTGGGTACTCCTGTATTGGGTGCATATATATTTAAGATAGTTAGCTCTTCTTGTTGAATTGATCCCTTTACCATTATGTAATGGTCTTCTTTGTCTCCTTTGATCTTTTTTGGTTAAAATCTGCTTTAACAGAAACTAGGATTGCATCCCCTGCCTTTGTTTGTTTTCCATTTGCTTGGTAGATCTTCCTCCATCCCTTTGTTTTGAGTCTATGTGTGTCTTTGATGTGAGATGGGTCTCCTGAATACAGCACACTGATAAGTCTTGACTCTTTATCCAATTTGCCAGCCTGTGTCTTTTAATTGGAGCATTTAGTCCATTTACATTTAAGGTTGATGTTATGTGTGAATTTGATCCTGTCATTATGATGTTAGCTGGTTATTTTGCTCGTTAGTTGATGCTGTTTCCTCCTAGCGTCGATGGTCTTTACAATTTGTCATCTTTTTGCCGTGGCTGGTACCTTTTTTTCCTTTCCATGTTTAGTGCTTCCTTCAGGAGCTCTTTTAGGGCAGGCCTGGTGGTGACAAAATCTCTCAGCATTTGCTTGTCTGTAAAGTATTTTATTTCTCCTTCACTTATGAAGCTTAGTTTGGCTGGATATGAAATTCTGGGTTGAAACTTCTTTTCTTTAAGAATGTTGAATATTGGCCCCCACTCTCTTCTGGCTTGTAGAGTTTCTGCCAAGAGATCTGCTGTTAGTCTGATGGGCTTCCCTTTGTGGGTAACCTGACCTTTCTCTCTGGCTGCCCTTTAAATTTTTTCCTTCATTTCAACTTTGGTGAATCTGACAATTATGTGTCTTGGAGTTGCTCTTCTCAAGGAGTATCTTTGTGGCATTCTCTGTATTTCCTGAATTTGAATGTTGGCCTGCCTTGCTAGATTGGGGAAGTTCTCCTGAATATCCTGAAGAGTGTTTTCTAACTTGGTTCCATTCTCCCCGTCAATTTCAGGTACACCAATCAGATGTAGATTTGGTCTTTTCAAATAGTCCAATATTTCTTGGAGGCTTCGTTCATTTCTTTTTACTCTTTTTTCTCTAAACTTCTTGCTTCATTTCATTCATTTTATCTTCAATCACTGATACCCTTTCTTCTAGTTGATCGAATCGGCTACTGAAGCTTGCGCATTCGTCATGTAGTTCTCATGCCATGGTTTTCAGCTCCATCGGGTCATTTAAGGACTTCTCTACACTGGTTATTCTAGTTGGCCATTCGTCTAATCTTTTTTCAAGGTTTTTAGCTTCTTTGCGTTGGGTTTGAACTTCCTCCTTTAGCTCGGAGTAGTTTGATCATCTGAAGCCTTCTTCTCTCAACTCATCAAAGTCATTCTCTGTCCAGCTTTGTTCTGTTGCTGGCAAGGAGCTGTGTTCCTTTCAAGGGAGAGAGCTGCTCTGATTTTTAGAATTTTCAGCTTTTCTGCTCTGTTTTTTTCCCACCTTTGTGGTTTTATCTACCTTTGGTCTTTGATTATGGTGACGTACAGATGGAGTTTTAGTGTGGATGTCCTTTTTGTTTGTTAGTTTTCCTTCCAACAGTCAGGACCCTCAGCTGCAGGTCTGTTGGAGTTTGCTGGAGGTGCACTCCAGACCCTGTTTGCCTGGGTATCAGCAGCGGAGGCTGAAGAACATGAATATTGCTGAACAGCAAATGTTGCTGCCTGATCATTCCTCTGGAAGCTTTGTCTCAGAGGGGTACCCAGCCATGTGAAGTGTCAGTCTGCCCCTACTGGGGGGTGCCTCTCAGATAGGCTACTCAGGGGTCAGGGACCCACTTGAGGAGGCAGTCTGTCCATTCTCAGATCTCAGACTCCGTGCTGGGAGAACTACTACTCTCCTCAAAGCTGTCAGACAGGGACATTTAAGTCTGCAGAGGTTTTTGCTGCCTTTTTGGCTATGCCCTGCCCCCAGAGGTGGAGCCTACAGAGGCAGGCAGGCCTCCTTGAGCTGCAGTGGGCTCTGCCCACTTCGAGTTTCCTGGCTGCTTTTTTTACCTACTCAAGCCTCAGCAATGGTGGGCACCCCTCCCTCAGCCTCACTGCCACCTTGCAGTTCTATCTCAGACTGCTGTGCTAGCAATGAGTGAGGCTCTGTGGATGTGGGACCCTCCGAGTCAGGTGCGGCATATAATCTCCTTGTGTGCCATTTGCTAAGATCATTGGAAAAGCGCAGTATTAGGGTGGGAGTGACCCAATTTTCCAGGTGCCATCTGTCACCACTTCCCTTGGCTAGGAAAGGGAATTCTCTGACCACTTGCACTTCCCAGGTGAGGTGATGCTTCACCCTGCTTTGGGTCACTCTCAGTGGGCTGTACCCACTGTCTGACGAGCCCCAGTGAGATGAACCTGGTACCTCAGTTGGAAATGCAGAAATCAGTTGCAAATGCAGAAATCACCGATCTTCTGTATCGCTCACGCTGGGAGCTGTAGAATAGAGCTGTTCCTATTTGGCCATCTTGGAATGGAGAATCAGACTTTCTCTTCTCAATTGTTCCCCACTTTCTTCTCTGAAGGTGTTCACATGCTATTTTCTCCCACATTCAAAACTTGTCTTTTAGTTTTGCTGTGATATGAGTGATTTGATCATTCGTTTATTATTTACTGAGTGTTAGCTTTGTATAATCCACTGGACTAGGCTTTAAGGTGTTAAAAACAAAAAAAAAAAACTTCAGCAGAATTAAATTTAAAGGAGTTTAATTGAGCAATGAATGATTAATGAATTTGACAGCCCCCAGAATGACAGCAGATTCAGAGAGACTCTAGGGATGCCTTGAGTCTATAAGAACAAACTTATAGACAAAAAAAAAAAAACAAAAAACAAAAAAAATGGAAGTGAGGTAAACAAACCAGAAGTGAGGCACAGAAACAATTGGATTGGTTACAGCTCAGCGTTTGCCTTATTTGGACACAGTATGAACACTCAGCAGTGTATGAGTGGTTGAAATATGGCTGCTAGGATTGGCCAAGACTCAGCTCTTGTTGCAGGTGCATACTCCTAAGTTAGGTTTTTAATCTTGTCTACTTATTAAGTTAAGTTGCAGTTTGTCCACAAGAACACAAATATAGAAGTATGGAGTCCTTCTCAGGCCATATTTAGTTTGTTTTAACAAGAGACACGGATATTAATTAGATATAATTTCTACTCTCAAGATGCTCACAGATCAATATTTAAAATGCTATAATAGGCAAGGTGGTTGGCATTTTTATTGGAATTAAAGTTTCCAGTTGAGCTAGACTGTCAACCTTTGACATTTTAGGCATTGTGGACAAGTGTTTGGAACACCCTAATATGACTCTCCCAAAACTCAGTCATTCCTCAAAATAGGTTCATGTTGTGTCAATGAGGTCTCCAGATCAGGGAGATCACAGAAGAACTTTAGTGAAGTAGACAGTTAATAATCTAATTAAACTGCAAACTCATTGAAGTTGGGGCCTATGTTTTATTCATCTACCAATACCAAGCACCTACCAGAGTGCTTAGGCTTAGAAAACATTTGTTCTAGAAGTGAGTAAATAGGAGAGGATAAAATAAATCTATAGATTAGATCATGTTTCAGCTGTCTCTTACGAAATCTTTACCACTCTTTCTGAGCAATTTTTTCCATTTTTGGCATTTTACTTCTACCCATGCCCAAGTTATCCCCAAAACACATTTCCAATATGGTATTAAAGAATTAATGTGAGGAAATTAGCATTTGCTAATACAAGTATATGAAGAAGTAATTCTTAACCCAAAAGAGTGTCTGAAAATAATTTTAGCTTTTCTATGGCACACATTGTTAAGCACAGTCTTTTTGGTAACTCCAAATTATTCCATTTTAATGACCTAATAAGGTTTGCTCTCATTCCTAAAGAGATTCCTCTTATACCACCCTTTAACACCTGAAACAGACAATATAGCTGAGCACAGCAATGTAGCCTAAACACTTCAATATAGGCTGAAAACATTTACATTATACAATTAGCCTAAAAATCATATTTGACTCATGCATAGGCATGCCTACACACAGAAAGGAAAAAGAAAGATGATAATAGATGGGTGTGTACACAGGAGGAGCAGGAAGCTCAGTGCATTTTTGACACATTCTCTTTCCAAGCACTATAGTAGACTCATGGCCTTTCATCTTATTAGTTAGAAACAGAAGCCTTTGCATCCATAAGATCGAATGAGGTCTGGAAGCAGAATATCTTCTGTAAGTTTAGTAAGCTATGCAATAGCCACCTGATGGCCTTCAGAGTACTACAAATAAATTTCCTCAGGAAGTAGATGCTTTTGCAAGACTGAAGCAGAAAGAAATCATGGTAAGAAACAAAACACAATGGACAATGGGGAATCAGTGTAAAAAGCAATATTTATTACTCTATTAAAACATGATGATCATTTTAAATATATTACAACTCCTTTCTAAATTGGCAAAGTAAAATTCTAACGGTTAAGGTGGGTTTTTGCATAAGCCCACACTTCAAACTTTCAGAAGAGGCTGAGAAAACTGTAGTGATATGTGGCAAATTAAAGTGAGACAACCTGCTCCTGATTGAAGAAGTGTACAAATCATGGAAACTGAATTTATCTAAGCCAAAATTTGAATTTTCTTTCTCCTCGATATCCTCTGATGGGAATGCTTTCCTAAACAACTAAGTGATGCTGACAAACAATTCTACCATCTATTATAGATACAATTTTTTTTCCTGTTTTACTGTATAAACTATGTTACTTCCTCTTGCAACCATACAAGCCTGCTGTTCTTTACAGGATATCTGAGTGGAAAGGGTAAGGTTCTTGGCTTTCTTTTCATAAGTACAAAAATAGAACTTAATCTCTGTGAGTTGGTCAATGTATGTTTCTGCTGCTTCCACTTAAAATGTCACCCTGAATCTACTAATGTCTTACCTTTGTGGGGATATTTTGTTATGAAGAATGGAGACTCCAATGAGGAAATATTTACTGTAAGTTTAAGTGGTTAAAATGTTCACTGAAACTGCTGCAAGCTTTGTGAAAGGAAATGTGGCTGTCTGGATAGAAAGCTCCTTTCTCTAATGATTTAAAATGACATTGACAAAAACCAGGTGTCCACACTTATATTAAACACTGCTCCTAACAATTCTATGTAAAAATAAGATTGTGGTTTATTAAACGAACATCTGTTTTGTGAGCTATGGGGGAAGGCTTAAAATTTTAAATATATGATTTCTGTCAACCAAATTAAGCAGCATTCAAGTAGCAAATACATTTAAATGTCTAAATACTTTCATAAGATGAGACTTTACATATTTTCTTGGTTTGGGACATTTCCCACGTGTGCATTCTTGGGTAAGATATGATGGCTTCAAATATCACAAAAGGATTTTCATCAAGTCCTAGAAACTAGCACAGCTGTTAAATCTCAGTGGGGTTGATTCCCCATTTATAAGGGATATTTCTTTGGATATATATTTCTAATTTGAGAACATGAGAAACATCTTAGAAAGGGCTCCAAGTGTTTTGCTGTCTTTTTAAAAAGGAATTGCTTTCATTTTCCTCACTCTAAATAATAAAATAGTTGTTATTTTTATGTCTGCTTATTTTACAGTTGAAGTTTGATTCTAAAGTATGTACGATTATTCACAATATGTACAATTATATATAATCTTAGAGAAATTAATACAAGCCATACCAAGATATCAGTGAGACTTACTCATGCCATTACATTCTCATGACAGGAGCAAGTCAGTGTATTTTGTATATTCTGAATTTCCCCGGATTAAAGAGTTGGAGATACTAAATTCTCTTTTAGTAAAAGGTTTCTCAATGAAGTTTTCTTTCTTAAAATACCAGGGTAAAGACTTTATAGCACTACTAGCTTTTTTCCTAAGAAACAAAATGTAACTAAAAACTGCAGACTACATGAGCATGACACAGGATGGCACTCTCTGTTTATTACAGTTGCCAAGTTGCATCATAATGTTGAATATTGAAATTGGTTTTTCCTAATTTCTCTGACCACAAGTATAGGTGGGGTTTTTCCTCTATTGAAGTAGTTCCAAAGTGACTGAGACTCGAGATAGTATTGAAGCCCAGACAGGCTAAGCAGCTGCATGGTTCTGGGAATCTTCAGAAGAGCTGAGGTCAGCAATACTTCTTGGACTGACCTTCCTCAGAAACTCAGTTTTGGCATGATTGTGAAGAAAGATCTCCTCGCTGACTTGAATGCTCGAGTTGGAGTTTTCTTCTTCCTAATTGGTTCCTCTTCCCCACCCACCAAGCAAGTTACTGAGAAGAAGACTGGTTATCTTACCAGTTACTAAGACTGGGTTGGGGGAGGGGGAAATTAATTATCTATGTATCCCTAACAGCAAAGTTTAGCCCAAAGCTGGTGCTTAATAGAGGCTTGAAATTTGATGAATTTTAGAGTCCTTGGGGAAAGGGAGAGGTTGCTGTTTGCTGACTCTATGTTGATGTCTTGCTTTATGCAGCTGCGCATGTGGGTGTCATAGAAGGCTGAAAAAAAAAAAAAATCACTTGAGAGAAACAGGTTTTTCCACTTGGTCAAAATTGTTGTTCAAGATTGAAAAAACATATTTGTCTGTAGCTTCATGGGGGTGTAAAACAATAACATATCACCAGAATTAGACTTACAAACTGGCAACTGCTTACGTGTACTGTTTGGAGGCTGAGAAAATAAACCCCTACCTGATGTGTCTTCTAGTCCTGTCTGTGAATTTCTGATATATGGCCTTTACTATTTTACGATGAGTTCCTTCTATAGCCAGCTTGTTGATAATTTTTACCAAAAAATGCTGAACTTCATCAAATGCTTTTTTTCTGCATCTATTGAGGTGATCACATGATTTTTATCCTTAATTCTATGTATGTAATATATCACATATATTGATTTGCATATGTTGAACCATCATTTCATCTCTGTAATGTTCACATAGATTTTGGAATAAGCTTGTTTATATCTAAAAAAAATAACTGCAAGGATTTTTATATAAATGGTGTTAAAACAATTAATTTGAGGAGAATTTGAATCTTTACTTCATTGATTCTTCTAACTGATGAACATGTTATATCATTCAATTTATTTAGGTCTTTAATTTTTTATATTATTTTTACTTTTTTCATTTTACATCTTTACATTTTATGGGTACATAGTAGGTGTATATATTTATGGGGTATATGAGATATTTTGATACAGACGTGCACAGTGAAATAATCAAATCATTAAAAATGAGGTATCCATCCCCTCAACCACTTATCCTTTGTGTTACAATCAAATTGCACTCTTTTTGTTATTATAAAATGTACAATTAAGTTATTATTGACTATAGTCATCCTTCTTTGTTATGAAATAGTAGGTCTTATTAATTCTTTCTAGCTATCTTTTGTACCCATTAACCATCCCACCTACACTCCAACCTCCCACCACCCTTCTCAAACTTGGGTAACCATATTTTACTCTCTGTCTGTGAGATTAATTGTTTTTATTTTTAGATTCCACAAATAACTGATAACATGCAATGTTTGTCTTTCTGTGCCTGGCCTATCTCACCTAACAATAATCTCCAGTTCCATCCCTGTTGTTGCAAACGACAGGATCTCAATTATTTTGTGGATAAATAGTACTCCGCTGTGTATATGTACTGCATTTTCTTTATCCATTCATCTGTTGACGGACATTTAGGTTGCTTCCAAATATTGCTACTGTGAACAATGCTGGAAAAAACATGAGAGCACAGATATGTCTTTAATACACTGATTTTCTCTCTTTTGGGTACACATCAAACAGTGGGATTGCTGGATCACATGGGACCTCAATTTCTCATTTTTTTTTTTAGGAAGCTCCAAACTGTTCTTTATAAGGGTTGTACACAACAGTGTACAAGGGTTCATTTTCACCATATTCTCACCAACATTTGTCATTGTGTGTCTTTTTGATATAAGCCATTTTAACTGGGATGAGACAATATCTTACTGTAGATTTTATTTGAATTTCTCTGATATTCGATGGTGCTGAACACCATTTTTTAACTTTTATTTTAGGTTGGGGGAACTTGTGAAGGTTTGTTACATAGGTTAACATGTGTCATGGGGGTTTGTACGTGTTATTTCATCACATAGGTATTAAGCCCAGTACCCAATAGTTGCCTTTTCTGCTCCCCTCTCTCCACTCATCTTCCTTTCTCAAGTAGATCCAGTGTCTGTTGTTACCTTCTTTGTGTTCGTAAGTTCTCATCATTTAGCTTCCACTTGTAAGTAAGAACATGCGGTATTTGGTTTTCTGTTCTTGCATTAGTTTGCTAAGGAAAGTAGCCACCTGATCCATCCATGTTCCTGCGAAATACATAATCTTGGCTTTTTTTTAATACCTGCATTTATTCTGCTGTGTATATGTACCTCATTATCTTTATCCAATCTGTTATTGATGGTCATTTAGGTTGATTCCATGTCATTACTATTGTGAATACTGCTGAGGTGAACATTTGTGTGCATGCGTCTTTATTGTAAAATGACTTATATTCCCCTGGGTATATACCCAGTAATAGGATTGCTGGGTCAAATGGTTGTCCTGCTTTCAGCTCTTTGAGGAATCGCCACACTGCTTTCCACAATGGTTGAACTAGTTCACCATCCCACCAACAGTGTATAAGTGTTCCTTTTTCTCTACAACCTTGCCAGCATCTAATATTTTTTATTTTTTTCATTGTAGTTATTCTGACTAGTGTGAGATGGTATCTCATTGTGGTTTTGATTTGTATTTCTCTAGTGATCAGTGATATTGAGCTTTTTATCATATGCTTGTTGGCCACATGCATGTCTTCTTTTGAGAAGTGTCTGTTTACGTCCTTTGCCCACTTTTAATTGAGTTGTTTGTTTTCCTCTAGTAAATTTAAGTTTCTTATAAATGCTGGATATTAGACCTTTGTCAGATGCATAGTTTGAATATATTTTTTCCCATTCTGTAGGTTGTCTGTTTACACTGTTGATACTTTCTTTAGCTGTGCAGAAACTCTTAAGTTTAATTAGATCCTACTTGTCAACTTATACTTTTGTTGCAATTGCTTTTGTTGTCTTTGTCATAAAATCTTTGCCTGTTCCTATGTCCAGGATTATATTGACTACGTTGTCTTTTAGGGATTTTACACTTTCAGTTTTACATTTAAGTTTTTAATGCATCTTAAATTTATTTGTGTGTATGATGTAAGAAAGAGGTCCAGCTTCAATCTTCTGTATATAGCTAGCCAGTTATCCCAGCAACATTTATTGAATAGGCAGTCATTTCACCATTGCTTATTTTTGTCAGCTTTGTCAAAGATCAAATGGTCATAGATGAGCAGCCTTTTTCTGGGCTCTCTATTCTGTTCCATTGGTCTATGTACCTGTTTTGTACAAGTACTATGCTGTTTTGGTTACTGCAGCCTTGTAGTATAGTTTGAAGTCTGGTAACATTATGCCTCCAGCTTTGTTCTTTTTGCTGAGGATTGCCTTGGCCATTCAGGCTCTTTTTTTGTTCTGTATGAATTTTTAAAAAGTTTTCTTCTTGTTCTGTGAAGAATGTCATTTGTAGTTTGATAGGAGTAGCACTGAATCTGTAAATTACTTTTGGCAGTATAAGCATTTTAATGATACTGATTCTTCCTATCAATGAGCATGAGATGTTTTTTCATTTATTTGTGTCTTCTTTGATTTCTTTGAGCAGTGTTTTGTAATTCTCACTGTGGAGATCTTCCATCTCCCTGATTAGCTGTATTCCTAGATATTTTTTTGAAGCAATTGTGAATGGGATTGTCATTATGATTTGCCTCTCAGTTTGGCTGCTGTTGGTGTACAGGAATCCTGGTGATTTTTTGAACTTTGATTTTGTATTTTGCATCTATGCTGGAGTTGTTTATTAGTTTGAGGAGCTTTTTGGCCAAGACTATGAGGTTTTTTAGATGTAGAATCATGTCATCTGCAAACAGGGATAGTTTGAATTTCTCTTTTGCTATTTGGATGCACATTATTTCTTCTTCTTTTTGGTTTATTTTGCCCTTTTTTTTTTTTTTTTTTTTTTTTGCCTGATTGCTCTGGCTAGGATTTCCAATATTATGTTGAATAGAAGCAGTGAGAGGGTTCATTCTCGTTTCATGCCAGTTTTCAAGGAGAATGCTTCCAGGTTTTGCCCATTCAGTATAATGTTGGTTGTGGATTTGTCATAGATGGCTCTTATTATTTTGAGGTGTATTCCTTCAATAGTTAGTTGAAGGAACTTAGATAGTTTTTAACATGAAAGGATGTTGGATTTTATTGAAAACACTTTCTGCATCTAGTGAGAAAATCACGTGTTTTCTGTCTTTAGTTTTGTTTATGTGATGAATCACATTAATTAATTTGTTTATGTTGAACCAACCTTTCATTCCAGGGCTGAAGCCTATTTAATCATGGTGGATTAGCTGTATGATGTGCTGCTGGATTGGGTTAGCAAGTATTTTGTTGAAGATTTTTGCATTGATGTTCATCAAAGGTATTGGCCTAACATTTTTTATTTGTGTGTGATTCTTGGACAGGTTTTGGTATCTGGATGATGCAGGCCTTAATAGAATGAGTTTCGGAGGAGTGCCTCATCCTCAATTTTTGGAATAGTTTCTGCAGGAATGGGACCGGATCTTCATTGTATATCTGGTAAAATTCAGCTGTGAATCCATCAGGTCTCAAGCCTTTTTGTTGTTGTTGTTATTGTTAGGCTATTTATTAATGATTCAATTTTTGAGCTTATTATTGGTCTATTCAGGGAATCAATTTCTTCCTGGTTCAATGTTGAAAGGGGTTATGTGTCTAGATGTGTATTCATATCTTCTGGGTTTTCTCTTTTATGTGCATAGAGTTGTTCATAGTAGTTTTGATAATTATTTTTATTTCTGTGGGGTCAGTGGTAGCATTTCTTTTGTCATTTCTAATTGTGTTTATTTGTATCTTCTCTCTTTTCTTCTTTATTGGTTTAGTTGGTTGCCTATCTTATTAATTTTTTCAAAAAATCAAATCCTGCATCTGTTTATCTTTTGAATGGTTTTATGTGTCTTGGTTTCCTTCAGTTCAGCTCTAATTTTCGTTATTTCTCACCTTCTGCTGGCTTCAGAGGGTGATTGTCTCTTGCTTCTTGTATTAATCCATTTTCACATGGCTGATAAAGACATACCCAAGACTGGGAGGAAAAAGAGGTTCAATTGGACTTACAGTTTCACATGGCTGAGGAGGCCTCAAAATCATGGCGGAAAGTGAAAGGCACTTCTTACACTGTGGTGGCAAGAGAAAATGAGGAGAAGGCAAAAGCAGAAACCCCTGTTAAACCTATCAGATCTCGTAAGACATTCACTATCACGAGAATAGCATGGGAAAGACCAGCCCCCATGATTCAATTACCACCCCCTAGGTCCATCCCACAATACATGGTAATTCTGGGAGTTACAATTCAAGTTGAGATTTGGGCGCGGACACAGCCAAACCATATCACTCTGTCACCAGCCCCTCCAAATCTCATGTTCTCACATTTCAAAACCAATCATGCCTTCCCAACAGTCCCCAAAGTCTTAACTCAGAAGTCCACAGTCCAAAGTCTCATCTGAGACAAGGCGTTCTCTTTTGCCTATGAGCCTGTCATCTCAAAAGCAAGCTAGTTATTTCCTAGATACCATGGGTGTACAGGTATTGCATAAATATAGCCATTCCAAATGAGAGAAATTGGCCAAAACAAAGGGGTTTTAGGGCCTATGCAAGTTCTGACCACTGGGATCAGCAATTCCCCTCTGGCTAGGATGGGTTTAAATGCTCCCTCCATGTACAGTCTTTAGCTGAGTTTAGTTTGGTTTTCCTTTCTTCTCTAACAGGACAGCACTGAGTTCAATGCCTTATGATTGCTGGGTTCTTCCTCCTTAGGAACCCAGAGAGGCTCTCTACACAATGCTGTTGCTGCTGAGGTTTCAGGGAGGGATGGCATTGGTGATTCAAGACTTTTTTCTATCTATTTAGTGTCACTTTCAGAGATTTGTAGTTAAAACCAGGTATTATGAAGGCTCACCTGATATTTGGTTCTTATGAAGGTGCTTTTTTTTCTGTGTATATGGTTGTTAAATTGGTGTCCTTGTGGATAGGATGATTGGTGGAGCCTTCTATTCTGCCATCTTGCTGACCTCTTGTGACAAGTCTTTGATTTTTAAAAATCAACATTTAGTAATTTTCAACATACAGTTTCTGTACATGTTTTGTTACATTTATACATAAATATTCCTTCTTCATTTTGGGGACTATTGTGAATAATATTGTGTGTTTAATTTCAGTTTCCATGTGTTTATTGCTACTACATAAACATAAAATTATTTGTTGTCTTAATATGCAACTTTGCTAAAAACGTGTTATTTCTAAGAATTTTGGGTGGTATATTTCTTGATATTTTCTACAGGTATATAGCCATGTTCTCTGATAATAAGAATAGTTTAATTTTTCCTTCTCAATCTGCCCTTAATTTTTTTGTCTTGCCTTATTGCACTGGCTCAAACTTCCAATAGTATTTTGAATAAAAGGACTGAAGTAAAAATCATTACTTTATGACTGATTTTAGAAAAAATGCCTTTACTATTAAACATGATGTGAACTATAGGTTTTTAAAAGACATTCACTATCAAGTTGAGGCAGTTCTCTATTCATAGTTTGCTGAGGGGTGTAAACTGAATGTGTGTTAGATTTTGTCAATACTTTTTCTGCATTAGTTGATATTTTCTTCTGTCTGCTTTAGTGTGTTAATACATTGAGTTACATTGTTTTATTTTAAAATGTTGAACCAGCCTTGTATTAATGGAATAAATCTCAGTAGGTCATGTTTTGTAATTCTTTATACATTGCTAAATCAATTTCATAAATATTTAATTGAGGATTTTTGAAAATATATTTCTGAGACATATTGGTCTGTAGTTTTTAATGTTTTCCTTTTGTATTGCCTTTTTCTGATTTTAGTAACAGGGAAATGTTGGCCCCATAAAATGATTTGGAAACTATTGTCTTCTGAAAGTTATTGTGTATAATTAGTGTTGTTCTTTATTAAATGTTTGATATAATTTATTTTTGGGATCATCTGCACTTGAAGTTTTATGCTTTATAATTTTTCAAATTTTATAAATTCAATTCATTTAATAGTTATAGAACTATTTAGATTATCTATTTTTTCTTAGGTGGGTTTGGTCATTTGCCGTTTTTAAGAAATTGGTCCATTCATCTAAGTTGTTAAATTTATGTCTATAGAATCATTCATAGTATTACCTTATTAGATTTGTTATGTTTGCATGATCTCTACTGGCATTCTTTCTTTTATTTCTTATACTGGCAAATATGTGTTTTATCTCTTATTTGTTTGTATTGCTTAAGGTTTATCAATATTTTATATCTTTTCAGAGAGCTGTGCTTTGGGTTTGATTAATTTTCTCAATTGTTTTTCTGTCCAATTTTATTGATTTCTGATTTTTATTGTTTTATTCCTTCTGTTTGCCTTTTTGCTCTATTTTTTAGTTCTGTGAGGTGAAAGCTTATATTATTGATTGAGACCTGTATTCTTTTCTAATATAAGCATTTAATGATCTCAATTTCTCTCTAGGCAGTCTTTTAGCTATACCTCACTAATTTTGATATGTTGTATTTTCAGTTTCATTTAATTCAATATGTAATTTTTTTCCCTTGAGAGTTGATTCATAAAATAATTAAAAATATGCTGCTTAATTTCCAATAGTTTGGAAAAGTTTCTGTTTACTTCTAGCTTGATTTCTAATTTGCAACTGATTATTTGTTTAATTCCTAGCTTGATTTGTAGCTCGACTCCATTATGGTGAGAGAACATACTCTGTATAATTTTAGTTTTTAAAACATTGTTAAAATTGTTTTGTAATCCAGGATATTTACTATCTTCCTGAATGTTTAATATTTGCTTGCAAAGTGTGTGTATTTTGCCCTTGCTGAATGACATATTAAAGGAACACTGTTTTATTACTAACATTTCTGACACCAAATGTGTGGGTTTTCTGCAATAAGCAATTCTTTAACTCTCTAGAGAAACCAACTGGGTGTCCTACAATTTAATTTAATTTTGACACTACTCCACTTAGTGGAGACCTCACCAGTTAGGGTGTCAGTTCCACAGATCTACCTCCCACTTCAGATGCTAATCTCAAGTAGTGGGTCCCCAGGCTACTCACACTATATATTTGGCTAAAGATTGGGGGTTCCCACAGCCCTTGTTATATTTGATAATTTGCTACAATGGCTCACAGAACTCAGGGAAACATTTTACTTACATTTACTGGTATATTATAAAGGATATTATAAAGTGTATGCAAGAATAGCCAGATAAACAGATAAATAAGGAAAGTTCTGGAAGGGTTCTAAGTGAAAGAGTTTCTGTCCCCATGGAGTTTGGGGAGTGTTACTACCCTGGCATGTAGATACATTTGCCAACCTGGAAGCTCTTCAAAGCCCACTGCTTAGATTTTTTTACATAGGTTACATTATGTAGGCATGATTGATTAATTCGTTGACCATTGGTAATTAAACTCAATCTTCAGCCCCTCTCCCCTCCCTGAAGGGCTAAAAGTGAGGCTGAAAGTTTTAACTCTCTAATCACATGATTGGTTCCTCTGCTACTTACTCCCATTCTAAAGGATTGAGGGGACCATCACAAGTCACTTTATCAGCATAAACTCAGGTATGGTTGAAAATGGCTTATTATGAATAACAATGACATTCTTTTCACTTCTATCACTCAGGGAATTCTAAGAGTTGAAAAAGTTTGGTGTCAAGAACCCAGGTCAAAGACTAAATATACATTTCTTTTATATCATAATGTTACACATATTCTATAAATTTTTATTACATCCTGTTGATTGATGTTGACATTCAGTTATTTTACATCTTGCAGATTTCATGTCTGTATCACGTGTTTCATGTCTGTAGCACCATTGTGTCTTGAATATATATAATGTGTTTTGATTTCACAGACTCACAGCTGAGACTCTGGACTTTGGACTTTTGCCTTGGTGCTGGAACAAGTTAAGATTTGAGGTTTTGCCATCAATGACAAACACATAGCCAACATGTTACTGAATGGGGAAAAGTTGTAAGCATTCCCCCCGAGAACTGGAACATGACAAGGATGCCCACTTTCACCATTTTTATTCAACATAGTACTGGAAGTCCTATCCAGGGCAATCAGACAAGAGAAAGAAATAAAGGACATTCAAATTGATAAAGAGGAAGTCAGACTGTCACTGTTGCTGATGACATGGTTGTGTATTTAGAAAACCTTAAAGACTCATCCACAAAGCTCCTAGAACTGGTAAATGAATTCAGAGAAGTTTCAGAATACAAAATTAATGCACACGAATCAGCAGCTCTGCTGTACACCAAACAGCGACCAAGCTGAAAATCAGATCAAGAACTCAACCTGTTTAACAATAGTTGCAAATAAACATACTTAGGAATATATCTAACCAAGGAGATGAAAGAATTCTACAAAGAAAACTACAGAACACTGCTAAGAGAAATCATAGATGACACAAACAAATGGAAACACATCCCACGCTCATAGATGGGTAGGATCAATATTGTGATAATGACCATACTGCCAAAAGCAATCTACAAATTCAGTGTGATTCCCATCAAAATATCACCATCATTCTTCATAAAATTAGAAAAAAAATCTTAAAAAATTCATATGGAACCAAAAAAGAGCTCATATCGCCAAAGCAAGACTAAGCAGAAAGAACAAATCTGGAGGCATCACATTACCCAACTTCAAACTATATGTAGTCACCAAAACAGCATGGTACTGGCATAAAAACAGGTGCATAGACCAATGGAACAGAATAGAAAACCAAGAAATAAAGCCAAATACAGCCAAATGATCTTCAACAAAGCAAACAAAAACATAGAGTGGGTAAAGGACACCCTATTAAACAAATGGTGCTGGTATAATTGGCAAGCGACATGTAGGAGAATGAAACTGGATTCTCATCTCTCACCTTATACAAAAATCAACTCAAGATGGATCAAAGACATAAATCTAAGACCAGAAACCTTAAAAATTCTAGAAGATAACATTGGAAAATCCCTTCTAGACATTGGTTTATGCAGACTTCATGACCCAAAGCAAATGCAACAAAAACAAAGATAAATAGAGGGAACTTAATTAAACTAAAAAGCTTCTGCACAGAAAAGAAATAATCAGCATAGCAAACCAACAACCCACAGACTGGGAGAAAATCTTTGCAATCTATACTTCCAGGAAAGGACTAATATCCAGATTTTATAAGGAATTCAAACAAATCAGCAAGAGAAAAACAAGAAATCTCATCAAAAATTGGGCTAAGTACATGAATAGACAATTCTCAAAAGAAGATGCATAAAAGGCCAACAAACATATGAAAAAATAGTCAACATCACTAATTATTAGGGCAATGCAAATCAAAACCACAATGCAATACCAACTTACTCCTGTAAAAATGGCCATAATCAAAAATATAAATCAAAATAAATAGATGTTGGCGTGGATGTGGTAAAAAGGGAAAACTTTTACTCTGTTAGTGGAAATATAAACTAAACTAGTACAACTACGATGAAAAACGGTGTCAAGATTCCTTAAAGGACTAAAAGTAGATTTACAATTTGATCCAGCAATCCTACTCCTGGGTATCTACCCAGAGGAAAAGAAGTCATTATACCAAAAAGATACTTGCACAAGCATGTATATAGCAGCACAATTTGCAATTAAAAAATATGGAACCAGCCCAAATGTCCATCAATCAACAAGTAGATAAAGAAAATATGGTATATATATACACACACCATGGAATACTACTCAGCCATAAAAGGAATGAAATAACGGCATTCACAGCAACATGGATAAAAATGGAGACCATTATTCTAACTGAAGTATATCAGGAATGGAAATCCAGCATCGTATGTTCTCACTAATATGTGGGAGCTAAGTTATGAGGATGCAAAGGCATAAGAATGATAAAATGGATTTTCAGGACTTGGGAAAAAGGTGGGAGTACGGTGAGACTACATATCGGGTACAGTGTACACTGTGAGCAGTATACACTGCTGAAGTGATGAGTCCACCAAAATCTCAGAAATCACCACTAAAGAACTTATTCATGTACAAAAAAAATAAAAATAAAAATGTTTAAAAAGTTTAAAAAAGACTTTGGGGCTTTGAAGGTGGAATGAAGATACGTGTATTTAAGAAGGGCATGAGTTTTGAGAAGCCAGAAGCATAATGGTATAGTTTGAATATGTGTGCCCTCCAAAACTCATGTTGAAATGTAACCCCAAATGTGACAATATTGAGAGGTAGGGGTCTTCAGGAGGTGATTCACTTATAAGGGCTTTGTCCTCATGAATGCATTAACTTATTCATGGTTTAATGGATTAATTGGTTAATAGACTAGTGGGTTATTATGGGAGTGAATCTAGTAGATTTAAAGAAGAGAAAAAGAGACCTAAGCTAGCATGCTCATCCCCCTCACTATGTGATGCCCTATATCACCATAGGACTCTGCAGAGTCTCTGCCAGTGAGAAGGCCCTCACAAAATATGTACTCTTGACCTTGGAATTGTCAGCCTCCCTACCTATAAGAAATAAATGTCTTTTCTTTACCCAGTTTTAGGTATTGTCTTATGAGCAACAGAAAATGGAATAAGACAGAGGCCAGCATTACCCTCATAGCAAAGCCAGGCAAGGACACTACAATAATAGAAAGATTCAGGCCTATATCTCCAATGAACATAGATGCAAAAATTCTCAACAAAATACTAGCAAATAAAATTGAATAGCACATTAAAATAATCACACACCATAATCAAGTAGGATTTATCCCTGTGACACAAGGATAATTCACCATATGCAAAATTCATGAATGTGACACATCACATTAACGGAATGAAGAGCAAAAAACATGTTATTACCTAAATATATTTTAAATAATCATTAGACTAAATTCAACAACCTTTTGTGATAAAATAAAAAACTTTAAACAAATTAGGTACAGAGGAATGTACCTCAGTTCAATAAAATCCATCTGTCATAAGCCCACAACTAACTCAACTCAATGGTAAAAAGCTGAAAACATTTCCTCAAGGATGCCCACTCTCCACACTTCTATTCAGTATAGTACTGTAAGTCCTACCCAGAGAAATCAGGCACACAAAAAAGAATTGTAATTCAAATCATAAGGAAAAAATGTTAATGTGTCCCTATTTGCAAACCACATAGTCTTTTTTATAGAAAACCCTAAGTACCCCCACCCCTAAAAAAAGACTGTTAGAACTACTAAACCAATTGACCTATTGACTAAAGATGTAAGCTACAAAATGAACATACAAAGTCAGTAGTGTTTTCACACACTAACAAAAATGTATCCAAAACTACTTGGGAAGAAATTTAACCAAGGAGGTGAAAGATAGGTACATAGAAATAATAAAATATTGATGAAACAAATTAAAGATGACACAAATAAATGGAATAATATTCCATGTTTATAATTTGGAGTAACTAATATTACTAAAATATACATACAACTCAAAGAGATCTACAAACTCAATGCAATCTCTATCAAAATTCCAATGAAATATTTCACAGAAAAAAAATAATTATAAAACTACAAAAAACCCTAATAGTAAAAGCAATATGGAGGACAAAGAACACATCTAGAGGTGGCACATTAACTGATCTCAAAATCAACTACAAAGTTATGTTAATCAAAACAGTATGGTACTGGCACAAAAACAGACATAGAGAAATAGAATAGAATTGAGAGCCCAGAAATAAATTCACACATCCATAGTCAACTGATATTTGCCAAAGTGCCAAGAACACACATGAGGAAAAAACAGTATTTTCAATAAATGATTTTGGGCAAAGTGGATAGCCACATGTTGAATAAAAGTGGATCCTTGTCTTCCCACATGCACAAAAATCAACTCAAAATATATTAAAGATGTACATGTAATACCTGGAAGACATGTATTTATTGGCTCAGGACAGCTCTGGCAGCTGGGCTTCATGTTGGTGAAGACTACACAGATCTTCTGTAGCAAAAGCCATAGGGGACCTTGGTGGATGTGAGGGCTTCTGGGGTCTCCTGTTCTTGTTTTCTTTTGCGGTGGGTAGCAGGCAGCTACGATGGAGGGGATTTACCTTGGTGCCGAGCTGTGCCTGCCTACGGCAAAGGATTACAGTGGTTAAAACGCTGACTACCGTTTTTAATGTAGCCACCCTTGGTCTTTGTTCCTTCCTGGGTTATTGCAGCTTCTTAATTGTACCCCAGATCCCTCCCAGAGATATTTTCTTTTGTGGATAGTTCCCAATTCATCATTTCTGTGGAGGGATGAGGGCTGGGACATTCTAGTCCACCATCTTGCTGACATCCTTGTAGCTGGTATTTTTAACTATCTCTTTCCACTGTCCATTCTATACTTCCCTTTTCCTCAGCAAGAACTCCATCTTGCTATGTTTTTTTTTCCTGTTTGGGTAACTCAAACTTTTATTTCTGAATGTTCTAGGCCATTCACAGTTCTATCTGAATTTAGTTGCTGTATTTTTTTAACTTATTTTTCTCACAGGACACGATAGTACTAACAGCCTCTCCCTAAGGAATCTCTTGTAAGCCTTACATGCTATTTCTTACCTCCACATATTTTTTTAACCTCCATTTTATAGTAATAACTCAATTTTCCCTTTGTAATCAGAATCAGTCACCTCAGTCAGTACAGTAACTTGCTTCTTTGCCTGTTGATTCAGAGACAAAATTTGCTCAAAATGGCTGGGTGGAAGTTTCAACTTCCAGGTTAATTGAATCATTATCATGTCCCCACTGGAATCATTCCTCCCTTTGGAACTAAGACTTCCAGACCAGCAAAGCCTAAGGTTGCAGAGATGGAGGCAAAAATTTTGCTACTGAATCACTAGAGGTAATAGTAAACGGTTCTACTTCCATTTTCACCCCTTGATTATTAGATTCTTAAATCCTGGCTATGGAAGAAATAGCCAGAATACTAATTTAAAGCACCTTCAGCTTCCTGAAGACCATAACTCCAGGCTTGCAAGATTTTGTTACCTAGCTGGTGATGAAACTGAGGCTTCAAAGGTAAAGATCCATCTGATTACTTGATTTAGGATAATGGAGAACATGAGAAGAACCATAAATTTTATAAGCATAGTCTCATTGCTCTACTTAATTTTGCTATTTACATCAGTCACTTTATCAGAAGCAATTCTGTGTAGAATAACAGACAGTAGATAAGGTAAATCCACAGATGATAATTTTAGCAGAAGTATTGCATGCATGGAGAGCAAATCCATATCACAGCAACTGTCCACTGTGATAAGAAGAAAGTGCTTCCCCATCCATAATGAAAGTCATCCAAAATAATAAAACTGCCATCTGGTAGCTGGCTGATCACCTGGGTAAAGGTGCCATATCAGGTACTCAAGTATTGGACTCTGCTGTTGGTGTTTTGAGAACTCAGCAGTAGGTCCAGCCGGGTCAGCCTTGGCAGGTGGAAATGCACTCTGTGGAGATCATGCACTACCTCCATCCCTGCCACCATGGCCACTTTGTTCATGAACCCATTTTGCAATAACAGGCATGGCTGTTGAAATAAGCTGGTATCCACATAACTCGTCATCCTATCCACTTGATTATTAAAATCCTCTCCCACTAAGGTCACACGTAGGTGAGTATTTCAATAGGACACAAATATCATCGTATTCTTTATCCATTCAGAGAGTTATATCCAGATAATTTTTCCACACATCTTTTTTCTACCAATTGTCCAACTGTATTTTTCTGAGTACGTTGCCATATATCGAAACCATTGGCTATAGCAAATGAACAAGTATACCTATGTCCCACTTACCGCTTCTACTTATGAGCAAAATGAACATCCAGGTGCACTGAGTTCTTTCTGCTGAGAGGATTTATCTTTGCTACGAGTTTTCAGGATTATCTCAGAAAAGGTCTATAATGCTGTAGATGTCCACTCTAGGTGATGCTTGCATGTTGTGTAGAATCATCTTTAAACAAGGTCAGAATTTTTTCTTCCTCAGTCAACTGGTTGTAGAAAATTCCCCACAAGGCCATAACATAGCATGTGAGAGGTAAGATAATGTAGCAAGCATAGGAACCACAGATATTTGGTCCACTTCTTCATGCAAATTATGTGTGCCTTTAACATCTATTAAAGCATAGTTCCATATATATTACTTTTATTTGATAATGGAGCACTGCTGTGCATGCCCAAATTTATGGCTTAGATGGTCATGTAACATTTAGTTTATGATGGGTAGCTCAAGAAGCATGATAACATGGTGGCTCATGGTTAAGTATTCAGTCTCTAGTATGGCCTACAGCAAGTCAAAAGGTGCTTCTCAGAAGAAGAATATTTAACTGCAGAGGAAAACAGAGTTTTGCTCCAAATTCAAAGGTTCTGCATTATGATTCACTTACAGAGACCTCCAAGGGCTCCAAACAGCATATTTATCATTCACTGACACTTAAAACACCATCATATCAGCTGCATTATGTAGCCCAAGTGGCAGAGCAGCTTGCATAGCAGCCATGACTTCTTGGGAACTTCTCTTTTTCTGGACCTCACTGAAAACAACCAGTTTCTTAGGTCATTCAGTAAATGGACTTGTCCTAGTTCATTTGATCTGCTCTAATAAAATACCACAAACTGGGTAGCTTATAAACAACAAAAATTTATATCTCATAGTTTTGGAGGCTACAAGATCAAGGGAAGTACAAGATCAAGGTACCAGTAGATTTGGTGTTTGGTGATAAACCACTTTCTGGTTAACAGATGGCACCATCTTGTGTGTTTTCACATGTGGAAGAGGCAAGGCAGCTGTCTGGGGTCTCTTTTATAAGAACACTAATCCCATTCATAAGAGGTCCACCCTTATGATCTAATGACATCCCAAAGACCCTCCCCTCCTAATACTATCACATTGGTGATTAAATTTCAACATATAAATTTGAAGGGACACAAACATTCAAACCACACCAGGGCTGAAGTAGCCCACACAAATGTAGAATTTGTTGCCTCCACAAAATTGAAAAGGGCTGATTTAGTGCTATGCCTGTTTTTTGTGGTATGAGGGAGCAGATACAGCAACTTATGTTTTACCTTAGGAGGGCTATTTCAACATGCCCCACACCACTAGACACCTAGAAATTTTACTGAGATAGAAGCCTCCAGTTATTTTGTGGAATGTATTTTCAACTTTCTGGTACGCAAATGTCTTAATGTTTTGCCTAGAGTTATTCTTACTTCCTGCTCAACAACTCCAGTCAACATAATATTATCAGTGTAATGGACCACCATGATATCCCTAAGTCTGTGCAAAGGAAAGGTGATCAAGGACACTATGGACTAAATTATATAAAGATGGAGAGTTGCTACAATCCTGAGATAGGACAGTGAATGTATATTGCTGACCTTGTAAGCTGAAAGCAAACTGTTTCTGGTAGTCTTTACTAGCAGGTGCGAGAAAAAAAATGCATTTCCTAGACCAAAAGATGCAATGTACCCAGGACTGGGCTACTTGTTTAAGGAACAAAACCACATTTAGAACAGAAGCTTCAAATAAAATCACCACTTTATTAAATTTATGATAATCTCTATTATTCTCCAACAGTCATCTGTTTCTTCGTAGGCCAAGTAGGTGAGTTGAATGGGTATTTGGTGAAAACCATCACCCCTATATCTTTGAAGTTTTTTTTATGATGGCACTAATCTGAAATGTTGCTAGGAATGTGATATTAATTTTGGTTTATTATTTTCTTATATAATGGCAGTTCTAGTGGCTTCCATTTGAGTTTTCTACCATAACTGCCCACATTCCATTGGTTATGAATAAATGTGGGGATTCTTACAGTTGCTGAGTTTGTCTATCCAAATTACACATTCTGAAAGTTGGGAAACAATAATAGGATGGGTTTGGGGACCTACTGGGTGCACTGTAAGATGAACCTGAGCTAAAACTTCATTGATCAACTGACTTCTATAAACCTCTATTCTAATTGTTGGGCCATGGTAACATTTTGGGTCTCTTGAAGTTAGTGTCACTTCAGAGCCCAGTGTCCAGTAACTCCTGAATAGTCTGATTATTTCAGTTTCCCCAATTAACAGTCACTTTTATAGATGAGTAGGTCATGAGAGAAAGACTAAGAGTATATATTTTTGGCAGTATACCAAGGTCATTCTTTAGAGGATCTGTCCTTTCCTTCATAAAAGGGGTTCTGGGTCTATACACTATCTTAAGTCAGGGAATTGAATGTGCAGCCATGACTATAAATTGGTAGTTCAAGTTAGATTTCTGTTCACTAGACCTAAAACTTTTCCACTTATGTATGTTAATTAAGAATTTAGTAGAATATCTATTTCTTTTGTGGGGACATCATGATCAACCAGTTAACACCATAGGTTTCTGTGAGTCAAACTCTTCTGATTACCACTTAGGCTCCATTCTTCATTATGTTAACCATGCCCATCTTGTCATTGGCAATTTAGTATAATGACTTGGCCCCTGGAACCCTGTGATGCTGTTATCCTCATTGCATATTGAGATTTCTCTACAATGGCAGGATTTGCCACTGTTATTTCTAACCTATGAAGAAGAGTAACCACAGATCTCTTTAAGGATGCTGGGCTAAGTTCCCCTAACACATGTAGTTCTCTCAGGTATGGTAAAAAGTTTGTCCTTTGGACCCTCTCAGGGGTGGATGCGCAGGTTTTACACAATAAATTTACTCTAAAATTTGAGTCTCATTAAGTCTTTGCATTCCATCTTGTACAGTATACCAAGGCAATTGTAGCATTTCAATTTAATTTAGTGTAGGCCACCTTAGGATCCATGCCAACCAACCAACTAACCAATCAACCAAGCAACCAAAGTCTTAGAGACATTTCTACCCATGCCCACAAGCTAAAACTATAATCTCTGCTTAGTGGACCCCTATTAATAAATTCAACTTGACCTAACTTTATATTTCTTCAACCATTACCCCACATCCTAAAAATCCATTTCCACACATATTCCTCAGGCTTCTGTTTGTACGGTAAAATCATTCAGTTATTTTGCTGTGTATCGTATCTTTTTATGGGTCACACTTTGAGATGATTATACAGCTTTTTGTTTTGTTTCATTAATACACTGTGTTTCATTGATTGATTTTCAGATGTTAAAGCAATCTTAGTCATGGTGTGTAGTCTTTTCTATATGTTGCTGAATTCAGTAAAGTGATATTTTAGTGAGAATTTTGGCATTTATATTTATACAGTTATTGATCTCTTCTTTCCTTTCATTGTTATATCTTTGGCTGGCTGTGGTATCAAGGTAATGCTGTCCTCAATGTAGAATAAATTGGGAGGTTTTCCATCCTCTTTTATTTTTAGAGGAGTTTGTAAAATACTGATGTTAATTCTTTAAAAATTTGGAGTAACTTACTAGTGAAGCTATGTGGGCCTCAACTTTGCTTTGTGCAAAATTTCCTGATTAGCAATTTTGTCTCTTTACTTGCTTATTATAGGTCTATTCAGTATTTAAAATTTTTGATTCAGATTCAGAAGTTTGTGTTATTATATAAATTTATCCATTTAATTTGTGGAAATACAGTTGTTCATATCATTCCCCTATAATCCCTTTTTATTTCAATTAAGTCAGTGATGATAGTGCCTCTTTCAGTCCTGATTTTAGGAGTTTTAGTTTTCTCTTCTTTTTGTTTTGATAAGTCTACCTAAAGATGTGTCAATTTTATTGACCTATTTAAGAAATTAATTTTTGTTTCATTGATTTTCTCTATTATTTTTGTATTCTGTATGTCAGCTTTTTATATTGTAATGTTTAGTTTCGTTCCTTCTGCTTCTTTGGGTTAAGTTTTATTTTATTTGTAGTTTTTCAAAAGTTTTAAAACGGAAGAAGTATCTCAAATCATTGACATTTTTAATATATGTCTTCTAATCTATAAACTTCTGTAAAAGAACTAGTTTAATTGTATTCAGTAAGTTCTAGCATGTTGTGTTTTCATCTTTGTTTATTCAGAGTATTTTCTAATCTCTCTTGGGTTACTTTCTTTGACTCATTTTTTATTTAAGAATCTGTTTTCAAATTTGCTCGTATTTGTTAATTTCCAGAATGTCCTTCTCTTATTCATTTTAAAATTGTATTCCATTATAATCAGAAAATATATTTTTGAAATATTAATCCTCTTAACCTTATTAAGCTTTAATTTATTGCTTGATGTATGCTCTGTGTTGGAGATTGTTCCACTGTGCACTTGAGAAGAATATATATTCTGTTGTAGTGTGGTGTAGGGATCTATCATCATCTGTTAAGTTTAGTTGATTTATAGTGTTGCTCAAGTTTTGTATATCCTCGTTAACCCTCTCTCAAGTTGTTCTAGCCATTATTGAAAGTAGACTATCAAAGTCTTCAACTACTAGTGGTGACTTGTTTATTTCTCTTATTTCTTTTTTTATTATTATATTTAAGTTTTAGGGTACATGAGCACAACATGCAGGTTTGTTACATATGTATACATGTGTGATGTTGGCGTGCTGCACCCGTTAACTCATCATTTAACATTAGGTAATTCCTAATTCGATCATCTGGAACATCTCCTAATTCGATCAACTGGAAGAAAGGGTATCAGTGATGGAAGATCAAATGAATGAAATGAAGTGGGAAGAGAAGTTTGGAGAAAAAAGAATAAAAAGAAATGAGCAAAGCCTCCAAGAAATATGGGACTATGTGAAAAGACCAAATCTACATCTGATTGGTGTACCTGAAAGTGAAAGGGAGAATGGAACCAAGTTGGAAAACACTCTGCAGGATATTATCCAAGAGAACTTCCCCAATCTAGCAAGGCAGGCCAACATTCAGATTCAGGAAATACAGAGAATGCCACAAAGATACTCCTCGAGAAGAGCAACTCCAAGACACATAATTGTCAGATTCACCAAAGTTGAAATGAAGGAAAAAATGTTAAGGGCAGCCAGAGAGAAAGGTCTGGTTACCCACAAAGGGAAGCCCATCAGACTAACAGTGGATCTCTCAGCAGAAACTCTACAAGCCAGAAGAGAGTGGGGGCCAATATTCAACATTCTTAAAGAAAAGAATTTTCCTTGCACATGCCTATGTCCGGAATGGTAATGCCTACGTTTTCTTCTAGGGTTTTTATGGTTTTAGGTCTAACATGTAAGTCTTTAATCCATCTTGAATTAATTTTTGTATAAGGTGTAAGGAAGGGATCCAGTTTCAGCTTTCTACATATGGCTAGACAGTTTTCCCAGCACCATTTGTTAAATAGGGAATCCTTTCCCCATTGCTTGTTTTTCTCAGGTTTGTCAAAGATCAGATAGTTGTAGATATGCAGCATTATTTCTGAGGTTTCTGTTCTGTTCCATTGATCTATATCTCTGTTTTGGTACCAGTACCATGCTGTTTTGGTTACTGTAGCCTTGTAGTACAGTTTGAAGTCAGGTAGCGTGATGCCTCCAGCTTTGTTCTTTTGGCTTAGGATTGACTTGGCGATGCGGGCTCTTTTTTGGTTCCGTATGAACTTTAAAGTAGTTTTTTCCAATTCTGTGAAGAAAGTCATTGGTAGCTTGATGGGGATGGCATTGAATCTATAAATTACCTTGGGCAGTATGGCCATTTTCACGATATGGATTCTTCCTACCCATGAGCATGGAATGTTCTTCCATTTCTTTGTATCCTCTTTGATTTCATTGAGCAGTGGTTTGTAGTTCTCCTTGAAGAGGTCCTTCACGTCCCTTTTAAGTTGGATTCCTAGGTATTTTATTCTCTTTCAAGCAATTGTGAATGGGAGGTCCCTCATGATTTGGCTCTCTGTTTGTCTGTTATTGGTGTATACGAAGGCTTGTGATTTTTGTACATTGATTTTGCATCCTGAGACTTTGCTGAAGTTGCTTATCAGCTGAAGGAGATTTTGGGCTGAGACAATGGGGTTTTCTAGATATACAATCATGTCATCTGCAAACAGGGACAATTTGACTTCCTCTTTTCCTAATTGAATACCCTTTATTTCCTTCTCCTGCCTAATTGCCCTGGCCAGAACTTCCAACACTATGTTGAATAGGAGTGGTGAGAGAGGGCATCCCTGTCTTGTGCCAGTTTTCAAAGGGAATGCTTCCAGTTTTTGCCCATTCTGTAAAACACCAAAAGCAATGGCAACAAAAGCCGAAATTGGCAAATGGGATCTAATTAAACTAAAGAGCTTCTGCACAGCAAAAGAAACTACCGTCAGAGTGAACAGGCAACCTACAAAATGGGAGAACATTTTCGCAACCTACTCATCTGACAAAGGGCCAATATCCAGAATCTACAATGAACTCAAACAAATTTACAAGAAAAAAACAAACAACCCCATCAAAAAGTGGGCAAAGGACATGAACAAACACTTCTTAGAAGAAGACATTTATGCAGCCAAAAAACACATGAAAAAATGCTCACCATCACTGGCCATCAGAGAAATGCAAATCAAAACCACTATGAGATATCATCTCACACCAGTTAGAATGGCAATCATTAAAAAGTCAGGAAACAACAGGTGCTGGAGAGAATGTGGAGAAATAGGAACACTTTTACACTGTTGGTGGGACTGTAAACTAGTTAAAACATTGTGGAAGTCAATGTGGCGATTCCTCGGGGATCTAGAACTAGAAATACCATTTGACCCAGCCATCCCATTACTGGGTATATACCCAAAGGACTATAAATCATGCTGCTATAAAGACACATGCACACATATGTTAATTGCAGCACTATTCACAATAGCAAAGACTTGGAACCCACCCAAATGTCCAACAATGATAGACTGGATTAAGAAAATGTGGCACATATACACCATGGAATACTATGCAGCCATAAAAAATGATGAGTTCATGTCATTTGTAGGGACATGGATGAAATTGGAAATCATCATTCTCAGTAAACTATCACAAGAACAAAAACCCAAACACCGCATATTCTCACTCATAGGTGGGAATTGAACAATGAGAACACATGGACACAGGAAGGGGAACATCACACTATGCGGACTGTTGTGGGGTGGGGGGAACAGGGGAGGGATAGCTTTAGGAGATATACCTAATGCTAAATGATGAGTTAATGGGTGCAGCACACCAGCATGGCACATGTATACATATGTGAGTAACCTGCACATTGGGCACATGTACCCTAAAACTTAAAGTATAATAATAATAAAATTAAATTAAATTTAAAAAAAAGAAAAGAATTTTCAACCCAGAATTTCATATCCAGCCAAACTAAGCTTCATAAGTGAAGGAGAAATAAAATCCTTTACAGACAAGCAAATGCTGAGAGATTTTGTCACCACCAGGCCTGCCCAACAAGAGCTCCTGAAGGAAGCACTAAACATGGAAAGGAAGAAAAGGTACCAGCCACTGCAAAAACATGCCAAATTGTAAAGACCATCAAGGCTAGGAAGAAACTGCATCAACTAATGAGCAAAATAACCAGCTAACATCATAATGAGAGGATCAAATTCACACATAACAATATTAACCTTAAATGTAAATAGGCTAAATGCTCCCATTAAAAGACACAGACTGGCAAATTGGATAAAGAGTCAAGACCCATCAGTGTGCTGTATTCAGGAAACCCATCTCACATGCAGAGACATACATAGGCTCAAAATAAAAGGAATGGAGGAAGATCTGCCAAGCAAATGGAAAACAAAAAAAGTCAGGGGTTGCAATCCTAGTCTCTGATAAAACAGACTTTAAACCAACAAAGATCAAAAGAGACAAAGAAGGCCATTACATAATGGTAAAGGGATCAATTCAACAAGAAGAGCTAACTATCCTAAATATATATGCACCCAATACAGGAGCACCCAGATTCATAAAGCAAGTCCTGAGTGACCTACAAAGAGACTTAGACTCCCACACAATAATAATGGGAGACTTTAACACCCCACTGTCAACATTAGACAGATCAACGAGACAGAAAGTTAACAAGGATACCCAGGAATTGTACTCAGCTCTGCACCAAGCGGACCTAATAGACATCTACAGAACTCTCCACCCCAAATCAACAGATTATTTCTCTTATTTCTGTTAGTTTTTGCTCCATATATTTCAGGACTATATTGTTAGATGTATGCATGTTTTTAATTGCTGTTTTCTAATCAAATGACCCTTTTATCATTATGTCATATCCTTTGTATTTAGTGGCAATTTTTGTCTAAAGTCTGTTTTGTCTGATGTAAGTATAGCCGCTCCAGCTTTATTTTGTATACAGTTTACATAGCATATCTTTTCATTTTCTTTAACACTCAATCTCTCTGTGTCGTTGAATCTAACCTGTGTCTCTGTAAGCAGTATTTGGTTGTATATAGTTTTTTATTTTAATCCATTCTACCACTCTCTGACTTTTATGGGAGTGTTTAATTTATGTGTAATGTAATTATTGATAAAGTTGGATGTACATCTACTATTTTGTTATTTGTTTTCTTATTGATTTATATTATTATGACATTTTTCTTCAACCTTTCATTTCTATCTTCATTTGTGTTTCATATATGTACCATTGTAATTAATTTATTCCTTATTATACTTCAGTTTTTGAGTTATTTTCTTAAAAGGTTTTTGTGGATTTCAACTAACATCTTACATTAAAATAGTCTGGTTCAGATTAATACCAACTTAATTTCAATAGTATGAAAATGTTTCTCTTATAGTCCCATTTCCTCCTTGAACTTTTTTATTTTTTTGTATACAGATTGCTTTTTACATATTTTAAACCCACCAACACAGGTTTATAATTATTTGTAGTTATGGCTTTATGCATTTTTTTTCTTTAAATTGCAGAGTAAAATAAAAGTGCTGCAAACAAATAGATGTTGAAATTCATTTATGTATTTCCTTGTGTAATTACCTGCATTGGTGATGTTTACTTCCTCCTTTGGGTTTCAGTTACTGTCTTGTGTCCTTCCAATTCAGCCTGAAGGGCTCCATTTGGTATTTTTTGTTGATCAGTGCTGCTATCAATGACTTTTATTAAATTTGATTATTTGACGTCATCTTAAATTTTCCTTTATTAAAGAATAGTTTTCTGAACATGTTATTTTTCTGGTTGTTCTTTATTTTGTTTCTTACCAATCAATATATTCTCCATTCAATTTCATGGTATGCATTCCTAGAAAGCTTGTTTTTTCAAAAGTGGGTAAAAATAATAATTCAATTTCTCCTGAAATGTTAGATTGTAGTTAAAACTGAATTTTGGGTTTTTAAAATTTTTCTGATTTGTTTCAAATTATTTTCATTGATATATAATCTTTATACATGTTTGGGGTACTTTGTAATATTTTATTCATAACATATATTAGCTATGCCTGCTTTGGGGATATTTTGTAGGATATATGTGATAGTATGTTGTATGAATATAATATACCTAATAAAGGTAATTTGGACATCCATAACCTCAAACATTTATCTTCTCCTTTTTTTGAGAACATTCCAATTCTTCTTTGCTAGTTGTTTTTAAACACATAGCATATTATTTTTAACTATAGTCATCCTAATGTGCTATCAAACACTAGATCTTATTTATTTTATATAATAGTATTTTGGTACACGTTAAGCAGGCTATCTATTTCTCCTTCACTTCTGCCCTTCACAGCCTCTGATAATCACCAATCAATCCTCTACTTTCATGAGATCCACTTTTTAATCCCCCACATACAAGTGAGGACATGTGATGACTGTCTTTTGACCTCCATTTCCATCAGTGTTTATGCAAAGGACAGGACTTCATTCCTTTTTGTGCCTAAATATTTCATTTTTATATGTGTCACATTTTCTTAATCCATTAATTTGTTGATGAACACTTAGGTTGCTTCCACATCTATGATATTGAGGATAGCACTACAATAAACCTGAAGGTGCAAGCCTCTCTATGATGTATTAATTTTCCTTCCTTTGAATAAATACCTAGTAGTGAGATTGCTGGATCATATGGTAGTACCATCTTTTTTTTTTTTTTTTTTTTTTTTTTTTTTCAGAAACCTCCATCCTCTTCTCCATGGTGCTTGTACTAATTTATATTCCCAACAACAGTGTAAAAGCATTCCCTTCTCTCCACAACCTCACCAGCATTCTTTATTGTCTTTTATTTTTATTTTTTGGATAAAAGCCATTTTTGCTTGGGTGAGATAATATCTCATTGTAATTTTGACTCAGATTTTTCTGATAATCGGTAATATTGAGTATCTTTTCATATGCTTGTTTGCCATTTGTATGTCACCTTTTGAGAAATGTCTAGTAAGATATTTTGCCCATTTCTAAATCAGATTGTTAGAATTTTTTCCTATTGAGTTGCTTGAATTCTTTACATATTTTCGTTATTAATCCTTTGTTGAATGAATAGCTTGAAAATATTTTCTTCTATTCTTTAGGTTGTATCTTCATTTTGTTAGTGGCTTTCTTTGCCATGTGGAAGCATTTAGGTTTGGTGTAATTTTGTCTGTTTCTTCTTTGTCACATATGTTTTTGAGGTCTTACTCAAAACATCTTTGCCCAGACCAATGTTCTCAAGAGTGTCCCCAAACATTTTTCTTCTTGTAGTTTTATACTTTCAAGTATCAAATTTAAGTCTTTATTTTTGATTTGATGTTTGTATTTGGTGGGAGATGGGGGGTCATCATTCTTCTGCACATGGTTATTCAGTTTTCCCAGTACCATTTATTGAAGAGACTGTTCTTTCCTCAGTATATGTTCTTGGCATTTTTGTCAAAAATGAGTTGACCATGAATGTGTGGATTTATTGCTAAGGCCTCTATTCTGTTCCATTTGTCTATGTGGGTTTTTATGCCAGTACCATGCTGCTTTGGTTACTATGGCTTTGGAGAATGTGTGTGATGTCTCCAGCTTTGTACTGTTTCTCCTCAGCATTTTTATTTGGTATTTTGGATTTTCTGTGGTTTCATACAAATTTTAGGATGTTTTCCCTATATCTGTGAAGAATGTCATTTATATTCTGACAGATACTACATTAAGTCTGTAGATTGTTTTGGGTGTTTGATATGGTTTGACTCTGTGTCCCCACCCAAATCTCATCTTGAATTGTACTCCCATAATTCCTATGTGTTGTGGAAGGGACCCAAGGGGAGATGATTTGAATCATGGGGGTGATTTCCCCCATACTGTTCTTTTGGTAGTAAATAAGTCTCACGAAATCTGGTGGTTTTGTTGGGGGTTTCCGCTTTTGCCTCTTCCTCATTTTCTCTTGCCACCACCATGTAAGAAGTGCCTTTCACCTCCTGCCATGAGGCCTCCCCAGCCATGTGGAAATGTAAATCCAATTAAACCTCTTTTTCTTCCCAGTCTTCCCAATGTCTTTATCAGCAGTGTGAAAACAGACTAACACAGTGGTATTGCCATTTTACCAATAGTAATTCTTCCATTCCAAGAGTATGACAAATGTTTCCATTTTTCTGTATCCTCTTCAACTTTTTTCATCAGTGTTTTACAGGATTTTGTGTAGATCTTTCACTTTTTGGGTTAAATTGATTCCTAGGTATTTTACACATTTTTAGCTATTATAAATATAATTACTTTATTTCTTTTTTCATTTTTTTGGCTATTACTGCATATAAATCCTGCTAATTATGCTATGTTGATTTTTTTATCCAAGCACTTTACAATTTGTTTTACATTTTTAATGTTTTTGAGTGGAACTTTTACAGTTCTCTAAATATAACATCATGTCATCAGCAGACAAGAATAATTTGACTCTTTCCAATTTTGATGCTCTTTATATCTTTATCTTGATCTTGCCTAATTTCTCTTGTTGAAACTTTTACTACTATATTGAATAAAAGTGGTGGAAGTGGGCATCCTTGTCTAATTGCAGATTATGAAGAAATAGCTTCAATTTTTTCCCATTTAATATGATGTTAATTGTGGATTTGTTATAAATAGCCTTTATTGTTTTGAGGTATGTTCTTTCCATACCTAGTTTGTTGTTAAGTGACCTTAAATTTTCTCAAATGCTTTTTGGCATCTAATAAAATCATTATGTAATTTTGCCTTTGATTCTGTTAATGTTATGTATCACATATATTGATTTGCATATGTTGAACCATCCTTGGAATGAATCAAACTTGATCATGATGAATTATGTTTTTAATGCATTGTTGTATGTGGTTGCTAGTATTTTATTAAAAGTTTTTGAATCCAAGTTAACCAGGGATATTACTTTTAGTTTCTTTTTTTGTTATGTCTTTGTCTGGTTTTTGTATCAAGGTAATGCTGGCCATGTGGAAAAAATTTGAAAATTATTGGGAATATTATTTCTTATTCAATTTTTTAAAGAATGTGAGTAAAAATGATTTTACTTCTTTTTTAAATGTTTGGTAGAATTCAGCAGTGAAGCGGTCAGGTCCTGGCTTTTCTTTGCTATGAGCCTTTTTATTGCTGTCTCACTTTTATTATTCATTATTTGTCTTCTCAGGTTTTTAATTTCTTCATGGCTCAATCATTGCAGGTTGTAGGTTGGGTGTATCAGAAAAGTTATCTACTTCTGTTTTTTCAATTTGTTGGCATATAGTTATTCTAATGATTCTTTGTATTTCTGTGGTATCACTTGTTATGTCTCCTTTTTTTTTACTTCTGATTAAAATTACTTGGTTCTTCTCTCCCTTTTTTTAGTCTAGCTAAAGTTGATCTTCTTTTTCTCTTTCTTTTTTTTCTTTCTTTCTTTTTTTTTTTTTTTTTTTCAGACTTTCACTCTTGTTGCCCAGGCAGGAGTGCAATGACATGATCTCAGCTCACTGCAACTTTTTCCTCCCGGGTTGAAGCTATTCTTCTTCCTCAGCCTCCCAAGTAGCTGGGATTACAGACATGTGTAACTATGCCCAGCTAATTCTGTATTTTTAGTAGAGACAGGGTTTCACCATGTTGGTCAGGCTGGTCTCGAACTCCTGACCTCAGGTGATCCACCTACCTCAGCCTCCCAAAGTCCTGGGATTATAGGCACGAGCCATCATGCCCAGCCTGAAATTGATCTTATTTACTTTTAGTTCCATTGGTCTTTCATATTTTTTGTTCTAGTTTTATTTATTTATGCTTTGATCTTTAATACTTCTTTTGTTCTACTAAATTTTGGGTTGGTTTGTTCCTGCTTTTTTAGTTCCTTGAGTTTTTTTATTTGAAATACTTCTACTTTTTTGATGTAGGCATTTGTTGCTATAAACTTCCCTCTTATTGCTACATTTGATGTATCCCATAAATTATGGTATGTTGTGTTTTCATTTTGATTTATTTTAAAGATATTACTAAATTTTCTTCTGAACTTCCTTATTGATTCATTAATTGCTCAGGAGGATTTTATTTAATTTTTATTTTGCTTTTGTGTATAGTGAGAGATAGGGGCCTACCTTCATTCTTCTGAATATGAATATCCAGTTTTTCCAGTGACATTTATTAAAGAGACTGTCTTTTCCACAGTGTATGTTCTTGGCATTTTGTAGGTGTGTGGATTTGTTTCTGGGTTCTCTATTATGTCCTCTTGGTCTATGTTATCTGTATTTATGCCAATTTCATGCTGTTTGGGTTACTATAGCTCTGTAGTATAATTTGAAGTCAAGTAGTATGATTCCTCCCGTTTGGTTCTTCTTTTATCTTAGGATAGCTTTGGACATTTTGTGTCTTTTTTGGTTTCATGTCAATCTTAGAATTGCTTTTTCTATTTCTGTGAAGAAAGTCATTGGTGTTTGGAAAGGGATTGTGTTGAATATGTGGATTGTTTTGGATAGTATGGAGAGTTTAACAATATTGATTCTTTTAATCAATGAATATGGACTATTTTTCCATTTTTTGGTGTCCTCTTCAGTTTCTTTCATCAGTGTTTTATAGTTTTTATTACAGAGGTCTTTTACTTCTTTGCTTAAGTTAATTTTTAGAAATTTAATTTTATGTGTGGCTTTTATAAATAGGATTGTTTTATATTTCTTTTTCAGATTGTCACTAGTGGTATATTGAAATGTTGCTGATTTTCGTACGTTAATTTTGTATACTGCAACTTTACCGAATTCGTTAATCAGTTCTAATAATTTTCTTGTGAAATCTTTAGGTTGAGTTAGGCTTCTTTGGGTTATATTGGCTTGGGGTTCTATAACCTTTTTTTACTTGGATATTGGTATTTTTACCTAGATTTAGGAAGTTTTCTGTTAATGTCTCTTTGAATAAACTTTCTAGCTCTATCTGTTTTTCCTACCTCCTCTTTAAGGCCAGTAACTATGGCTACCACCCTTAGAACTGTGCTGGGTCTTACCTGAAGCCAGAACAACAGTGGAACTCACCCAAAGCGTGCTTTAACCACTCCAAGGCTACTGTCGATGTTCACTTAGGGCCCTGGGGAACTACGATCAGCAGGTGGTAAAGGCAGCCAGGTCTATAACCTTGCCTTCAAGGTGGCAAGTTCTCCTAGGCCCCAGGGAGGTCCAGGAGGCAGGGACTAGAGTAAAGAACCTTAGAAGTCTGCCCGGTGTTCCACTGTATTGCAGCTGAGCTTGTACTCAAACCACAAGGCACAGTTCTTCTTACTTTTCACTTCTCTTTTTTTTCAAAGGCAGAGGAGCCTCACTCCATGGCCACTACAACGACGGCTTATGGGGAGTACTGGCAGACTACTGCTAATATTCTTTTAAGGCCCAAGAGGTCTTCAGTCAGCTTGTGGTGAATGTAGCCTGTCCTGGCACTCACCCTTCAGAAAAGTGGTCTCCCTTCTGTCCCAGGCCAGGCCAGAAATTCTGTTGAAGAGCCACATCCTGGAACCGGGAATCCTAAAAGCCCACTTGGTGCTTTAAGCCCATATTGCCAAGCTGGCACCTAAGGTGTAAAAGAAAGTCCCCTTTGCTATTTTCTTTACTTTTCTCAAGCAGAAGGAATCTCACACCATAGCCACCACAGCTGAGAATATGCTGAGTCTCACTGGAGGTCAGCAAGTATCAACTTCTTACCTAAGTCCCTCATCGTAGCACCTGGGTACTGCTGCTGTTTGTTCAGGGCCCAAGGACTTTTTAGTTAGCAGTTGATGTGTATTGTATGACTGACTTCTTCCCTTCAAGGCAGCAGGTTCAAGATCTGTCTAGAAATGTTCAGGAGCTAGGGCCTAGAATAGGGGCCAAATGACTTTGTCTGGTGCCCTACCCTGCTGTGGCTGAGCTGGTATCCAAAATGCAAAACAGAATTCCTCTCACTCTTCTTTTTCCTTTTCTTAAATATAACAAAGAGGTCTCTATTGGAGCTGTGAAATGAGCAGCCTGGGGTTAGAGGAGGGATGATGCCGGCACTCCATTAGCCTCCCCAGCTGGTATCTCAGTAGTCATGTAGTCACTGTTTCTGGGCCCAGTTCAACCCTAGGACTCACTTAAGTGTTGCAGGCCTTGTGGCCTAGACCACCTTTCAAGTTTATTTTGGACCCCAGAGTACTTTAGTCTGCAATAGTGTGGATTGCAGGAACTCAAGTTCCAATCACTGGGGTCAGCAGTTCCTCTCTGGCTAGCACTGGCTTAAATGTGTCCTCTGTGAGTGTTAGCTGAGTTTGGTTTGGTTTTGCTTTCTGCTATAACAAGGGCAGCACTGAGTTCAATGCCTCACAATTGCTGGCTTGTTCTCTCCCCAAGGAACACAAACGCTCTCTGCACCATGCAGCTGCTGTCAGGGTATACTCAAGGGGTGGCATCAACAGTTGAAGACTCCTTTTCCTACCTCTTCAGTGCTTCTTTCAGCAACATAAAGTTAAAACCCAGTACTGCGAGTGCTCATTTGATTTTTGGTTCTTAAGAAGGTGCTTTTTTGGGGGTGTGTGGCTAGTTGTTAAATCTGTGTCCTTACAAGGGGGATGATTGATGGAACCTTTTACTCTGCCATCTTGCTCCACCCCTTCTCTTACATTATCTATCTCTTAACAGGATGCTGTGGTTTACTGTTTTTGATAGATTCATCTTTTAGTCTTCATACTAGATATATGAACAGATTGCACACCACAATTACTATATTAGAGAATTTTATATTTGTTTGTGTACTTGTTTTAATAGTGACTTTTATATATTCAAATGTTTTCTTATTGTAAATTAGCTTACTTTTCTTTTATGTTGATTAATTTATTTTTAACATTTCTTGTAAGGCAGGTCTAGTGGTGATGAATTCCCCCAGTTTTTATTTGTCTGGGAAAGACTTTATCTTACCTCCATGTTTGAAGAATAGTTTTGCTGGTTACAATATTACTGATAGGCAGAGTATTTTTTTCTTTAGCACTTTGGATATGCCAACCTCCTCTCTCCTGGCCTGTATAGTTTTCATTGAGAAGTCTGTTGCCAGATGAATCTGAGTTTTTTTATATGTTGGTTTCTTTTACCTTGCTATTTTAGAATCCTCTCTTTGTTCTTGAGCTTTGCAATTTTAATTATTACACGCCTTGGGGTAGTCTTATTTGAATTTAATCTTCTTTAATCTCTGCCTTCCAGTACTTAGATACTTATATTATACTCTAAGTTCAGAAAGTGTTCTGTTATTATTTCTTTGAATAAACTCTATACCTCTTGGCGTTTCTTGATTTCTTGGATATCCATCATTCTTCAATTTGCTCTTGTGAGGTTATTCTCTCTATCTTGTGGATTGTTTTCTTTTTTTTTCTTTTTTTTTTTTTTTTTGACAGAGTCTTACTCTGTCAGCCAGGTTGTAGTGCAGTGGCATGATCTCGGCTCACTGCAACCTCGGCCTCCTGGGCTCAAGCAATTCTCCTGCCTCAGCCTCCCAAGTAGCTGGGATTACAGGTGTGTGCCAACATGCCCAGCTAATTTCTGTATTTTTAGTAGAGACGGGGTTTAACCACGTTGGCCAGGCTGGTCTCACACTCCTGACCTCAGGTAATCCACCTGCCTCAGCCTCCCAAAGTGGTGGGATTACAGGTGTGAGCCACCGTGCCTGGCTGGATACTTTTTATTCCTACTGATTCGCTTTCCTTTCTCTTCTCTGATAGTAAATTTTTTATATCCTGTCTTTGTGCTCACTGATTTTCCTGCTTGATTCATTCTACTGTTGAGAGCCTCTAACGCATTTTTTTTTCAATTTAGCAAATGTATTTCTTAGTTTCAAGATTTCTGTTTGATTTTTTACAATGTTTCAATCTGTTTTTTGAATCTCTCTGATAGATTTCTGAATTGCTTTTCTGTGTTATCTTTGAGTTGCTGAGCTTCTTTAAAACTACTCTTTTGAATTCATTATGTGAGAATGCACACCTTTCTATCTTGTTAGGGTCAGTCACTGACATTTTCCTTTGTCTTTTTGAAGAGGACATAATTTACTGCTTCCTGTAGTGTGTGTAGTGTGCGTGTGTGTGTGTGTGTTTGTGAGTGTACTTTAATGGCTTCACAATAAAATATTAATTACTTATTCCAGTCTTCACTGCCTGACTTGTTTTGGTCTTTCTCAGGTATGTTTGCTTAGAGGTTCTCTACAGGTGTTTGTGAATCCTTTAAATCCTAAATTGCTGTTTTCTTTTTGGAACTAGATGACACCTTAAGCCCAGGTATGCCTCTTGCAAGTTTGGCTTACTGCCTGTTCCAGATGGTTAGTTCCAAAGGAGATACTTACGCTGTTTTGGAAGACTGGCTAAGGATTCATACCTAGAAGATCTATAGAGTGTGTTTTCTACGGTGTGATATTGCTAAACAGACACTCTGATTTGGCAACTTATTTGGCTGAAAAAAAGAGAAGAGTTTTGCAAGGTTGTGTTTTTATTTCCCCTTCCCCTCTTTGTCTCTAGCTGCCCTCAGGGTTTTTTCTTCTAATAGGCACTAACAGTTCTCCTTTTGGTTGAAGCAGAGGTGGTTCTTCTGGAGGGAATGCAAGATGGTGAAGAAGCAGGCCCTCTGTCTTCATCTCACTTTCCGAGAAACACCCAAGAATGATCAATAAATACTAAAAAAAAAAAAAAAAAAAAAAAGTGGAATCCATGATTGTGAAAGGAATTTTCCATGCATGATGTCTGGCAAGTTGGGAAAGCAGCATCAAAAAAAAGATAAATTTGTTTATCTTACAATTTGCTTGGTGATTTTTATTTCTCTGTTGTCCCAGAGATCATCTCAGTCTCAGATTTGAGTTCTGGGATTTTGCTGGTTATTGTCTTGGCACTGGATATTTGTTTTTGGTTTTCTATGGGAGGGAGTGAAGCCAGATTGACTCTACTCCACCATTTTGATGACATCACCTCCTCTTTCTTCATTCTTGACATTCATAGTTTTTTTGGTCATAATTTCCTCTGTGTTTGAAAAACTTTCTGTAACAATTTTTAGAGCAAATCAACTAAATTTTTCTCTCCTGGGAATGTCTATTTCTCAAAGTTAATTTTCCCAGCATGAATTATTTCAGACTAAAAATTTGTTGTAATTTCAACCTTTCCTTTTATTCAACCAATTGCTCAAGCAAAGTGCTATTTCTCCCTAGATCCTTTCAAGATTCATTTTAAGCCTTTCATTTTCAGAAGGTTTATTGTGGCGTGTCTGTGTGTGCATTTCTTTGCATTTATCCTTTTTAAAGGGAAACTCATTTTTTTTTAATCTATAGCTTTATGTCTTACACAAAGTGTGGAAAGCTATTATTCATACTTTCTTAAAAATATTTTTTTCTTGTAAGCTTCTTCAGTGCCCAGGTTAGGATCTATATCTATCTATATCTATATTATCTATATCTATATCTCTATATCATCTATATCTATATCCATCTATCTTTCCAGATATAGATATGGAAGGCTGACACAGACACACACACACATACACACACACATATATGCACATGCAAACAAACATACACATACACAGAGAGAGTAAACTTAATGTCATGTTCTTGAAGTCTTTAGCCAGTCTTTTTTTTTTGTTCACATTTTAATATTTTGGCACTGATTTTTTGTGTGCTCTACAGAGATTTTAGCTATAATTATCAAGAGGAATATGGTGGAGTGAGTTGATTTTATCTTATCTGAAATTGGAAGTATGTAGGCCTGTCTGTTCTAACTTGAATGGGGAAAATTGAGGATGCTGGGTGCCAATTTCTAACAATATTATCTTTTGTACCTGAAATTCCATCAAATCCTTAATTTATTACATCAGCAGATGTGTTTTGAGTATCTAATGCTTTCTAGAATGTTTTATAATTCTCTTGATGCAAATATATCAAGTGAAACACAGGCTCTGCCTGAAAGTGAAATACCTAGTGAGTGATATATTCAATAAGGAAATACAGGTGGCACAGAAAACTATCTACCTCAGACTTAAAGAGAAGTCAGAGAAGGCATTCCAAAGTATAATTGTAAGTTAGAAACTGAAGAGAAGTCAGTTAATCAAATAAAAATTGAGGAAAGAACATCTCAAGAACAAAGAATATTTGTACAATATTATAGATATAACAGAGTGCTTCATACATTATGGAAATGCAAGTACTTCAGCTTGGTGGAAGCACAGAATGGTGGTGAGGAGTAGAGTTGTATAAATGAAGTTAGAGTGATATGCTTATAGAACTTAAATAAACTATAGTAAGGAGTTTGTTTTAATGATACAGAGAACCCTTAATTGAATTAAATAGTAGAGTGGCTTGACAGATTTGGCAATTAGAAATATCTCTTTTAGTTAAAAATATATTGATTATAATGGGCATAATTGAAAGTAGAAGTAATCGGTAGATGCTGAAAATAATAAGAAATAAAGAAATGATGGCTCTTTGAATCAGAATAGAGGTGACACAGAGAAGTGGCTAAATTTTAAAAATTTAAGAAGATAAAAATCATAGAATTTGATGATAATGTGTGAGGGTATTAGTAGGTGAATATGTTAAAGGTATCATTTACATTGTGTAAATGTATATATGGAAGAGTGATCAAATAATATCATCCAAACTCAGACACTTTTAAGACTGAGAGAGTGTGACATTATTAGTTACTCTGGAATAACAGATGTAAACTAGGACTGTGCCAGGAAAATCAGGATTTATTGTCCCTTAGTATGTGGCGGTTCTAGTAAGAAATGGACATGCTTTTTAAAATAAATTTTATGCTTTGTTTAAAAATTTTAAATCTTAAATGCCTATGGGACACACAAGTAATTAAATAGCTATATTTACTGGTACATATATATGTGTGTATGCATGTACGTGTGTGTGTGTGTGTGTGTGTGTGTGTAATGAGAGCTCAGGAGATAGCTATAGACTGGAACTATGGATTTTGAAATCATAATCTTATATACAGTAATTGAAGATATAGAAGTAGAAGAGACAGCCCAGAGAAAGTAGTTATAGTGAAAAAAAAGAAGGCTTAGATTACAACTTGGGGAAGGCTGCCATTTGTGGAATCAACAGAAGAAAATCCACAGTAAAATAAGGAGCAGTCAGAAAAGGAAGAAAAAGAGAAAAGTGTGGAAACACAAAAAACAAGGAAAGAAAGTATTTCAATAATTAGTGAGTGGTTAACATAATCAAATATATTAGTATTTTATCACACTGCTATAAAGAATTATCTGAGAATGGGTAATTTATATAGAAAAAGACTTAATTGACTTACAGTTCCTCAGGGTTGGGGAGGCCTCAAGAAACTTACAATCATGTTAGACAAAGTTTCCAGAGGAAGGAGCAGGAAGCAATCTTTGCTGTTCTGCAGCCTCCATTGGTGATACCCAGGCAAACAGGGTCTGGAGTGGACCTCCAACAAATTGCAGCAGACCTGCAGAAGAGGGCCCAACTATTAGAAGAAAAACAAACAAACAGAAAGTAACAAGATCAACATCAACATAAAACACCCCCCACAAAAACCCAATCAAAAGGTCATCAGCCTCAAAGATCAAAGGTAGATGAATTCACAAAGATGAGGAAAAACCAGCACAAAAATGCTGAAAATTTCAAAAACCAGAATGCCTTTTCTCCTCCAAATAATCGCAACTCCTCTCCAACAAGGGCACAAAACTGGACAGAGAATGAGATTGATGATTTGACAGCAGTAGGCTTCAGAAGGTGAGTAATAACAAACTCCTCTGAGCTAAAGGTGCATGTTCTAACCCAATGCAAGGAAGCTAAGAATCTTGATAAAAGGTTACAGGAACTAACTAGAATAACCAGTTTAGAGAGGAACATAAATGACCTGATGGAACTGAAAAACACAGCACAAGAAATTCGTGAAGCTTACACAAGTATCAATAGCTGAATCAATCAAGTGGAAGAAGGAATATCAGAGATTGAAGATCATCTTGTTGAAGTAAGGCATGAAGACAAGATTAGTGAGAAATAATGAAAAGTAATGAACAAAGCCTTCAAGAAATTTGGGGCTAGGTGAAAAGACCAAAGCTGCGATTGATTGGTGCACCTGAAAGTGACAGGGAGAATGGAACCAAGTTGGAAAACACACCTCAGGATATTATCCAGGAGAACGTCCACAATGTAGCAAGACAGGCCAACATTCAAATCCAGGAAATACAGAAAACACTACTAAGATACTCCAATAGAAGAGCAACCCCAAGACACGTAATCATCAGATTCTCCAAGGTTGAAATGAAAGGAAAATGTTAAGGGCAGACAGAGAGAAAGGTAATGTCACCTACAAAGGGAAATCCATCAGACTAACAGCAGATCTCTCTGCAGAAACCCTACAAGCCAGAAGACAGTGAGGGCCAATATTTAACATTCTTACAGAAAAGAATTTTCAACCAATAATTTCATATCCAGTCAAACTAAGTTTCACAAGTGAAGGAAAAATAAAATCATTTCCAGACAAGCAAATGCTGAGGCATTTTGTCACCACCAGACTTGCCTTACAAGAGTTTCTGAAGGAAGCACTAAATATGGAAAGGAAAGACGAGTACCAGCGACTGCAAAAGCACACCAAAATATTAAAACGATTGACACTATGAAGAAACCGCATCAAGTAATATGCAAAATAACCAGCTAGCATCATGATGACAGGATCAAATTCACACATAACGATATTAACATTAAATGTAAATGGACTAAATGTCCCAATTAAAAGACACATATGGGCAAATTGGATAAAGAGTCAAAATCCATCACTGTGTTGTAGTTAGGAGACCCATTTCACATGCAAAGAGACACATAGATTCAAAATAAAGGGATGGAAGAATATTTACCAAGCAAATAGAAAGCAAAAAAAAAAAAAAAGCAGGGGTTACAATCCTAGTTTCCAATAAAACAGACTTTAAACAAAGAAAGATCAAAAAAGACAAAGAAGGGCATTACATAATAGTAAAGCGATCAATGAAACAAAAAGAGATAACTCTCCTAAATAAATATGCACCCAAAACAGGGGCACCCAGATTCACAAAACAGGTTCTCAGAGATATACAAAGAGACTTAGACTCCCACACAATAATAAGATAATAATGAGACTTTAACACCCCACTGTCATTATTAGACAGATCAACAAGACAGAAAGTAAACAAGGATATTCAGGACTTCAACTCAGCTGTGGATCAAGTGGACCTAATAGACATCTACAGAACTCTGCACCCCAAATCAACAGAATATACATTCTTCTCAGTGCCACATGGCACTTATTCTAAAATAAACTACATAATTGGAAGTAAAACACTCCTTAGCAAATGCTAATGAATGGAAATCATAACAAACAGTCTCTCAGTATACAGTGCAATCAAATTAGAATGCAGCATTAAGAAACTCACTCAAGGCCAGTTGTGGTGGCTAATGCCTGTAATTCCAGCACTTTGGGAGGCCATGGCATGTGGATCTCCTGAGGTCAGGAGTTCAAGGCTAGCCTGGCCAACATGGCAAAACCCTGTCTCTACTAAAAATACAAAAATTTGCCGGGTTTGGTGGCAGGTGCCTGTAATCCCAGCTCTGAGGGAGGCTGAGGCAGGAGAATCATTTGAACTGGGAGGTGGAGGTTGCAGTGAGCCGAGATTGTGCCATGGCATTCCAGCCTGGGCGACAAGAGCAAAATTCCTTCACAAAAAAAAAAAAAAAAAAAAAAAAAAAGGAGAAGAAAAGAAAGAAAGAAACTCACTCAAAACCACATAACTACATGGAAACTGAACAACTGGCTCCTCAGTGACTACTGGGTAAATAATGAAATTAAGGCAGAAATAATGAAGTTCTTCGAAACCAATGAGAACAAAGAGACAGTGTGCCAGAATATCTGGGACACAGCTAAAGCAGTGTTAAGGGGGAAATTTATAGCACTAAATGTCCACATCAGAAAGCTGGAAAGATCTAAAATTGACACCCTAACATCACAATTAGAAGAACTAGAGAAGCAACAGCAAAGAAATTCAAAAGCTGGCAGAAGAGAAGAAATAACTAAGATCAGAGCAGAACTGAAGGAGATAGAGACATGAAAACACTTTAAAAAAATCAAGGAATCCAGGAGCTAGGTTTTTGAAAAGATTAACAAAATAGATAGACCATTAGCTAGATAAATAAAAAAGAGAAGAGAGAATAATCAAATAAACATAATAAAAAATGATAAAGGGGACTCACCACTGATCCCACAGAAATGCAAACTACCATCAGAGAATTCTATAAACACCTCTATGCAAATAAACTAGAAAATCTAGAAGAAATGGATAAATTCCTGGACACATACACCCTCCGAAGACTAAACTATGAAGAAGCCGGATCCCTGAATAGACCAATAACAAGTTCTGAAATTGAGGCAGTAATTAATAGCCTACCAACCAAAAAAAAAAAAAAAAAAAAAAAGCCCAGGACAAGATGGATCCACAGCTGAATTGAATGAGAGGTAGAAAAAGGAGCTGGTATCATTCCTTCAGAAATTATTCCAAACAATAGAAAAAGAGGGACTTCTCCCTAACTCATTTTATGAGGCCAGCATCATCCTGATACCAAAACCTGGCAGAGACACAACAAAAAAGAAGATTTCAGGCCAATATCCCTCAAGAACATCAACGCGAAAATCCTCGATAAAATACTGGCACCATGATCAAGTAGGTTTCATCCCTGAGCTGCAAGGCTGGTTCAACATATGCAAATCAATCAACATAATCCATCACATAAACAGAACCAATGACAAAAAAAAACACATTATTATCTCAATAGATGCAGAAAAGTCCTTTGATAAAATTCAACATCCATTCATGTTAAAAACTCTCAATAAACTAGGTATTGATGGAACACATCTCAAAATACTAAGAGCTATTTATGACAAACCCATAGCGAATATCATACTGAATTGGCAAAAGCTGTAATCATTCCCTTTGGAAACTGGCAGAAGACAAGGATGCCTTCTCTCCCCATTCCTATTCAACATAGTATTAGAAGTTCAGGCCAGGGCAATCAGGCAAGAGAAAGAAATAAAGCCTATTCAAATAGGAAGAGAGGAATGCAATTGTCTCTGTTTGCCGATGACATGATTGCATATTTAGAAAACCCCATCATCTCAGCCTACAACATCCTTAAGCTGATAAGCAACTTCAGCAAAGTCTCAGGATACAAAATCAATGTGCAAAAATTACAAGCATTCCTATACACCAACAATAGACAAGCAGATAGTCAAATCATGAGTGAACTCCCATTCACAACTCCTACTAAGAGAATAAAATGCCTAGGAATATAACATACAAGGGACATGAAGGACCTCTTCAACGAGAACTACAAACCACAGCTCAAAAACATAAGAGAGCCCACAAACAAATGAGAAAACATTTCATGCTCATGGATAGGAAGAATCAATATCATAAAAATGGCCATACTGTCTAAAATAATTTATAGATTTGATACTATTCCCATCAAGCTACCATTGACTTTCTTTGCAGAATTAAAAAAAAAAAACTACTTTAATTCTCATATGAAACCCAAAAAGAGCCCATATAGCCAAGACAATTCTAAGCAAAAAGAACAAAGCTGGAGGCATCACACTGCCTGACTTCAAACTATACTACAAGGCTACAGTAATGAAAACAGCATGGTACCGGTACCAAAACAGATATATACGCCAATGGAACAGACAGAGACCTCAGAAATAACACCTCACATCTACAACCATCTGATCTTCAACAAACCTGACAAAAACAAACAATGGGGAAAGGATTCCCTATTTAATAAATGGTGCTGGGAAACCTGGCTAACCATATGCAGAAAACAGAAACTGGACCCCTTCCTTACATCTTATACAAAAATTAACTCAAGATGGATTAAAGACTTAAATGTAAAACCCCAAACCTTAAAAACCCTGTAAGAAACCTAGGCAATACCATTGAGGACATAGGCATGGGCAAAGTCTTCATGATTACAACACCAAAAACAATTGCAACAAAAGCCAAAATTGACAAATGGGATCTAATTAAACTAAAGAGCTTCTGCACAGCAAAAGAAACTATCAAGAGAGTGAACAGGCAACCTACAGAATGGGAGAAAATTTTTGCAATCTACCTATCTGACAAAGGTCTGATATCCAGAAACTACAAAGACATTAAACAAATTTACAAGAAAACAACGACCCCATCAAAAAGTGGAGGAAGGATGTGAACAGACACTTCTCAAAGGAAGACATTTGTGTGGCCAACAAACATATGAAAAAAAGCTCATCATCACTGGTCATTAGAGAAATGCAAATCAAAACCACAATGAGCTATCATGTCACGCCAGACAGAATGGCAATTATTAAAAAAGTCAGGAAACAACAGATGCTGGCAAGGCTGTGGAGAAATAGGAATGCTTTTACACTGTTGGTAGGAGTATAAATTAGTTCAATCATTGTGGAAGACAGTGTGGTGATTCCTCAAGGGTCTAGAACCAGAAATACCATTTGACCCAGCAATCCCATTACTCGATATACACCCAAAGGATTATAAATCATTCTACTATAAAGAAATATGCACACGTATGTTTATTGCAGCACTTTTTGCAATAGCAAAGACTTGGAACCAATCCAAATGCCTGTCAACGATTGATTGTATAAGGAAAATGTGGCACTTATACACCATGGAACACTATGCAACCATAAAAAAGAATGGGATCATGTCCTTTGTAGGAACATGGATGAGGCTGGAAACCATCATTCTCAGGAAAATAACACAGCAACAGAAAAGCAAACACCATAGGTTCTCACTCCTAAATGGGAGGTGAACAATGAGAACACATGGACACAGGGAAGGGAATATCACACACCAGGGCCTGTCAGGGTTTGGGGTCAAGGGAAGGGATAGCATTAGGACAAATACCTAATGCATGCAGGGCTTAAAACATAGATGATGAGTTGATAGGCACAGCAAACCACCATGGCACATGTATACCTATGTCACAATCCTGCACGTTCTGCCCATGTATCCCAGAACCTAAAGTAAAATAAAATAAAATAAAAAATAAAAAGTAAAATAATTAACTAAATTAAATAATAATTCAGCATGTCTGTAAAAAAAGAAAAAAAGAAAGGCTAAATTAGTGTAGTCAAAAATTCCTTTTGATGCCCATCTCTCCTTTCCACTGAAAAATCCATCTGTTCTATGCCTTCTCCTACACCAGTGTACCTGATTTTCAGGAGGTTCACTCAGCACTTTCTTCTCTCATCAAGTAGCCAGCCAGGTGAAGTAGAAAGGTTATTAGAGTGAAAGGGCTGATTTCTAGCTACACTTTAAAGCTGAATTTGCAACAAGGCCCTTTATCCCTAGGCAAGTTGCTTCACCACTTTTTGCCTGCGCCTCACCAAATAAGGTCGTTAATGTGAAAATTAAAATGATCATTTTTATTTTCCATGGGTAGAGTCTTTCATCTCCGGCACTAACAACGTGGGCCTTACATCCTTTCTGGGGAGGTAGTGTTCTGCAACCATCTCTGCTGGCTCAGTCCCCAGTAAGAAACATGAAATTCAACAACAACCAAAGGAGCAAAATGGTAGTGAGACTATTTCATTCTCAAGCCTTTTGTTATCTGAAACAATCAGCTATTTCTAGCCCTACCCAGTAGGCGTTGCCGGGCAGAGGTGAGAAACCCTCATAATCCTGCAGCTGGAGAAAAGAGAACGTTGCCTCCTGTCTAGATGGATTACCATCTATTTGGGAGCTTTTTGCAGAGCTAGTATTTCAGAACGGACTGGAATATTTTAATGAAACAAATGGAGCTCTCTACTTGTGAAGCAAGTTTAAGGGTCTGAATGCCTGGAGAACGTAGTAGAAATATGTGCCTGTGAAGGAAAGCTGGGGAAATCCTGGAGAGGCCAGTGAACAAGCCATGAATATTCGGAGTGGGATTTTCAAAGCATGATTCTCTGCCCACTACTTGTCTAGGCTGTGTTTCAGAGGACATAAGAGAAGATGTTTGTCAGGGGTCTCATGCTCAAGACGAATATCCTAGATACAATAGCAAATAATTTACTAGTGGTAAGTAACAGGGCATAATGTAAACTGTGGAATCAGATTCCTTGGTTTTAAATCCCTGTTCCATCACAAACTAGAAGTTTAACCATGGGCAAAAAATTTGACCATTGCTCAATGGTGAAATGGATATAAAGACAGTATAACCATCTTTATATGATTGTAATGAAGTTTACGTGATATAATATATATTTATATACAGTGATTGGCACACATGAAATTCTCAGCAATTTTGTTATTATAAGCTGATGTGATGTGATGTAAGTTGTGAGATACTGCAAAACATCCAAGAAAGTTGAGGTCAACAAAAACTAGAGAGTTCGGGAGTAGCTTCCTTGGGTATGTGCAACTTAAGCTGGATTTTGAAATGTATTTATATTTCATCTCTTTTCATGACTCAGAAGAATTACATAAAATGAATTATGGTAATTAAAACTCCTGTTGTGTTATTACTATGTACCAGATACATGCATTGCATAAATTAGCTTACTTATTTGAATGTAAACAACAATGGTATATATTGTACAGTAGAAGAAGCTGTGGATTCAGATAAATTAGGAAAAACAACCCATAAGCAAGGCAACTTGTATTCAAACTCAGGTCTGTCTGATTCCAAAGCCTGTGGTTGGAAGCACTATGCTGCATTGACTGTCAGAAAGAAAAATAAATAAATTCAGAAAACTGAAATCAAAATATATTAGAATCAGGTAACAAATTCTAAGTTGGGTATGGGAGAAAGTTTATAAGCCTCCACAATTTTGTGGAAAAAAATAAAACAAGAAATTTTTCTTTAAAGATAAAAATTAATTAAAAATTAACAAAGTTTGTACCAGCTAGATTTTGAAAGCTAATGAACAATTTTAAGACCAATGCCTTTTTTACTTTGATTGAACTTACTGTTTTTAGGTTTCTGATACCCAAAGAGAAGATAGGAATTGTGAGATGACATCATTCATTTATCTATGATACATGTTTTGTCTTACAGTAGTTTTGAATTTTTGGAAACGTTTTTTATATAAGTAAATAAGCCATAAAACAGCAGTTATTCTGAGAATTAATAATTTTTAAATTGAGTCTGCTAGATAAGAATGTTTTAGTTATAAGTTTATTAAACTTTGTCAAAGACCCACTGTGGTAAAAATATCTATTAAAATCTTAACTTGTCATAATGGCATTGAAAGAGCTGTCACACTCATCCAATTGCAGAAGTGTTTTTTTTTTTTAACATGAGATCTTGAACAGTTTTTTTTCTAAAACCTAAACACAATGCAATATTTTTGTCATTATCTTTGTTCTGTTTTATTATCACTTTTGTCCCACATGGTCTAGACAGGAGAAATAAGTGAATGTGGATAAACAGGCCAGATCATATTACACATTTATAAAAGTTTAGCTAAAACTTTTCTGTGACTTTTCTCACATCCACATCTAAAGTAGAGAAGGAAACATCAATTATTTATTTAACTAGATGATTCACAATATTTGTAAGGAGATAATATACTGGGCCTCTCAGATAAACACAATCCTTGGGATATCAAGGGTGTGTTAAATCAGTGATTTTGAAATTGTGGCCCCTCGATCACATGGAAACTTCTTAGAAATACAAATTCTTGGGCCTCATTCCAGGCCTATTGAATCAGAAACTCTGTGGGTAGAACAGCTCTCCAGATGATTCTGAGGTATGCTTAAATTTGAAAAGCATAGTTATAAATCGAGAATGATAAACTCTGTTTAATATGATTTGTGACAAGGTAGATGAAGTTACTTTTGAGCTGGGCCTTAAAGAATGAGTCATAAGTCCTGGAGATCTATTGTACAGCATGGCAATATAATAACAATGTATAGTATACTTAAATTTGTTAAGAATGTAGATTTTACATGTTTTCATCAAAAAATGGTATGTGAGGTGATAGATATATTAACTTGACTTAAACATTCTTTAATGTATATATATCAAAAGATCACATTGTACACCATAAAGACACAATTTATCATTTATAAAAATTAAGGATGAGTCAAAATTCTCTACACTATATTTTTCCTTTAGCTAAACAAATTTTGATATATTTTGGAAAACCAATAGATTTGACATTGTGACGTTATAAAAAAGAGCATTTAATTTGAAATTTCCTATAAGGTTCCATCCTGGAGTGTAATTTAGCATTCTGCATCAAAAGCCAAGCAATTACACTTCTAAGAACTTTTCCAAAGGAAGTAGTTGCTCAAATGTACAAAAATGGGTGTAAAATAAGGTTTATCAAGGCATTGTTTCTGATAGTAAAAATTGGGAATCTACCTGTCTACTGCTTAAATAAATTATGGTATATAATTCTGATGGAATTCTAAGTATTTATTAAAATTATTATTTAGATATTTATTGATGTGGGAGAATACAATAATTATGTTTAAACGAATTAAAAATGACTATAAAATTATATGTCTGTATGAGTCAAATTTGGTTAAAATAGCTATATATATTAATTTATAGCTCCACGTGCATAGAAAAAAAAATAAGTATGGAAGGTTATACACCAAAATGTTAACAATGGGAATTCTGGTTTTATATTTCTATACACACACACAAACACACACACACGTATATATATGTACACATATATACACACACATTTAGAGAGAGATATAAAATTTGTTTGGTTTTGCTTTTCTCTGTTTTCTAAAGTGAAACTCTATTTCTTGTGTGGAGAAATAACAGAAGTTTAAAAACAACGTAATCTAATCTAAGATTTTTAAGCAGCCTTCTTATACAATCCTACCATTAGTGATTAGAAATACTCATTTTAGAAAGTATTGTATTTGTCCTGGAAGAAACTAATTCATCATACAAAAATTCACTGTCAAGGTTAGTGGTCTAAAATCTGGCATTGGTTTATTTCTCAACATTTGCATTATTATTAGATAATTAACAAAAATGTGGTTTTCATCATAGAAGCTTTTAGAAAAGTAGAAATTGCTCTGCAATATGAAGCAAGTGATCCTGGTTGAGCTGTTGCCACTAACTTTCTGTGTGAATTTGAAAATTTTAGTACCCCGTTTTTTGACCTTGGTTTTCTCAAGTAAAAATAACTCAATCAGAACATTTTGATGTCTGTTAAAAGCTCTAATATTCTAGGAATCTAGAATGCATTTAGAAGCAAAAATATGAGGAAGTATGGAGGCTGAAAAAACAAAATAAAATAACCCCAAACCCTCTAAAAGACACTTTAAAGGATTCTGCTTCTGAAGCTACACAGGATGTTGTTCGTACTTCTCACCCTGTATTTCTCCCTTAATGGAATTTTAAATCAAAGTACGTGTTGAATGTCAAAAGATATTTGAACCTTGGTATAGTTATGACACCTAGTGGTCACGTCAAACATCACAGCTAAATTCTAACCACCCCCCCACCAGACACTCATTCACTTCGTTTCATTGGGATATTTTTTCATTTTTTTCAGATGCATTTATTCATCATGCATTCAGTTATTCACCCAACAAGCACTTAGTGGACCCTTTACATGTTCATGGCACTTTACTGGACACTTTACTATAACGGAAAGCAAGAAGTAAGATAATATGTCTTTGATATGTAGAAGATTGCTATGTATTTAGGACAACAAAATAGACTCCACAGAAAGGCAAGTAACTACACCATGCTGAATTTGTTAAGTGCATTCTCACTAAAGAAAATGAACATAACTATGGATAGTCTGTGGCCAGCCAGAGGAATGGCTTGCGATTTGGAGAGATAAAGAAAGGATTCATAGAAGTGGAACTTGCCTTTATTGGGGCCTCAGTTTCCCCATCTGAAAAATAGCAATAATATTTTATTGTTTCATAGAATTGTTATCAGAGATTGAGACACAGTATATATAAAGTACTTAGCATAGCGCCTAGCCCAAATTAGGTACTCTGTGATTGTTAATCATTTTATAACAAAACTAAAGACTTCATGTATATTAACTTTTTCTTAATTTTATTTTCTTAATTTTATTTTATTTCAAGTTTACATGGTGTTTTAAAATTTAGACTGAATGTACAGAACACAAAATCAATTATTTTAGTTAATTCAATGGATAAACAAATAGATAACCACAAGAAAAGATAGTGTTGTCTCTGTCTTTAGATGAACATAATAAAGAGTTTAGATAGAAATAAGCTCTACTACTTTTATTTTTAGCTAGAAATAAACAGTTTACTAGACTAACTGGCCGATTCAGCAAAATAGCTAATACACAGAAAAAAAAAATCATTCAGAGTAGCTGTTTGCTTGAATGAGCTAGTTGTTTTCTTGCAATGAACTGTCAGCTCAGTAAATACAGTCTATCTGGAAGCTCCGTGTAGTCAGTGAAAAGACATCAAATAGATTGTTTGGCACTGTATGGGCTGTATGTGGGTAGACTGCCTTTGTATACTTTTTAATTGGTTGTGTTTGAGACACTGTCTTAAATCTTATGCTGCTTTCCAAACTCATATTTCAAGAATTGTTGCAAAAATGTCAATTTACTTTTGTACTTGAGTACCAGGTAGTGTTAATTAAGGCTGTCTCATTTTTTTTTAATTCCGTAAACATGTGTAGCAATCTAACTGTGTTTGCAAGCAACAAAAAGTACAAGGGAGTATTAAAACCCCACTTATCCTTTTGTTTCTGCAATCAGAGGCACAGTCATATATTTGCTAAAAGCATCAAACATTTATGTAGTTAAACTGTCGTTTTCAAGGGTAAAATAAACTGTACCGTAGTGGCTTTTGTACAAAACCCATAATGTTCTGACAACAAAGAAAACCAAGAGCAAGGACCATGTCATATTATTTAGAAATGAGTGTTTAACCTGAATAAGAAAGATTTGAGAGAGGACAGGATTGCTGCCTTCAGATATTTGAAGATGTGTAACATGACTTTATTTTATTTGGCCTTAGCAGGCAGAAATAAGTTGAAATGATAGAACAGATCTGACTCACTAAAGGGAAGAAAATTCTATTTATTTATTTATTTATTTATTTATTTATTTATTTTTCAGACGGAGGCTGGAGTGCAGTGGTGCGATCTCTGCTCACTGCAAGCCCCACCTCCCGGGTTCACCCCATTCTCCTGCCTTAGCCTCCAGAGTAGCTGGGACTACAGGCGCCCACCACCACGCCCGGCTAATTTTTTGTATTTTTAGTAGAGACGGGGTTTCACAATGTTAGCCAGGATGGTCTCGATCTCCTGACCTCGTGATCCGCCCGCCTCGGCCTCCCGAAGTGTTGGGATTACAGGCGTGAGCCACCATGCCCGGCCACTACTGATTTTTAAAAGTTGAACCACCTATAATAATAGTTTTCACAGGACTTGCCCTGAGAGCTGAAAGAGAGATAGCTGCTTTTTACTGTATCTACTACCAGATACACTCTAGTCCTTCACATACTCTGGTAGTTGCCTAAAGTAGTTGCAAGGATAGTCCCAATAAATGTGAATGTCTGAGGTTACCATAATTATGTTAATAAACACAGAACTTTAGTTATAGGAGCTTCTGAAAAGTACAATGACATATAAGGAAGACAAATTTTGCCCTCTGCCAAATTCTGTAGGAGGCAAAGATTATCTGAGTAGCACTGTCTTTTTCAAGCCCCTATCATTCTGAGTACTGGTAACCTGCCAGCCCTTCCCCAGGCTCCTATCCTATGTCTTATTCACAAAGGTTCACAGATGTGCCTTGGCAGTCACCTATTTACAAGGTTGCAGTTGACAATAAATTAAATTTTCGCTCTCCCTGGGTTGATGATGAGGGATTTATTTAGAACTTAAAGTTTAAAAATACAGGTGAAAACAGTAAAACTAAAATGTGTAACCTCATGACAGTTTTGAAATTTATGTCTGGGGGCTATTTTGCAGTAGGGTCTTGCCTGTTGGTTAAGTCTACAAGTTTGATTACTTCTCTGTTAAATACTAAGGGAAAAATATAACTGAGATTATTGCAAAAATACTAATCTTTTGTATTACTGAAAATATCATCCTCAATACTGTTATCCATTTGTAGATTGGTCTGTTATTTTTAGTTTACGTAGACACTTTTGAATTTATAACAGTTTACACAAATTCTTCTTTATTAGAAAACAAATATATTTGTATACCCAAACATGAACTGACATGCCCTTGACTCTAATTTTACTCTATTTTCTGCCGAAATTGTCATTCTAATGCTTTACTAGGGAAGGAACATAAGTCTTCAAGATGGGAATAACAGCACAAACAGCACAAGAGCAAAATGCACTGATCTTCAAATGCCATTTCAGTACTCCCTCTATAAAACTACCTATATGCTCATATTCATACCTGGTCTTCTAGCCAACACTGTGGCCGTGTGGGTTCTGTGTCACTTCATCAACAAGAAAAATAAAGTCATCATTTTCATTATCAACCTCTCTGTGGCTGACCTTGCACACATGTTGTCCTTACCCCTCTGGATTTACTATTACATCAGCCACCACTGGCCTTTCCAGGGGCCCCTTGACCTAGTGTGCTTCTACCTGAAGTATCTCAACATATATACCAGCATTTGCTTCCTGACATGCATCAGCCTTCAGAGGTGCTTCTTTCTCCTCAAGTGTCATATACTGGAAGCATAGGTATGACGGGGGTCATCATGGAGACTGCTTGTTTACCATTTCCCATTCTGAGAAGCACTGGCTTAGCCAACAACACCAAATACTGCTTTGCTGCCTTAGGGCTTCAGCACATTAGCATGGCTTCCTCCCTTGGCATGGTAACTGTAGCTGAACTTGGAGGGTTTGTATTACCCATTATAATTATTACTTATTTCACATGGAAAACAAGAAAATCTTTATGGGAATTCCAAGTTCCCCCTAGGAATACCAAAGAGAGGAAAAAGGCTTTGAGGATGGTCCTGATGTGTGAAGTGGTGTTCATTGTGTGTTTCACTCCTTACCACCTCAACTTCCCATTCTTTATGATGGTGAAGGAACATGTCTTTTTGAACTGCTCTTTTATAAAGATCATTCTCTGTTTCCACATTATTTCCCTGTGTCTTGCAAATCTGAATTGTTGTCTTGATCCAGTTGTATATTATTTTATGACCTCAAAATTTCATGATCAATTTTCAGATCATGGCAGCTTGGTTCTTCAGTCATGTATGAGATGTAATAACAGTACCTTAGAAATTCATCAGAGGAAGGAGGATCTTCAAACTATCTCTCTTGAATGTTTGAAAGATTCCAAGACAATATAATCAAATAATTAACTAGAAAAATCGATATGCTCTATTAGTGTATCTATGTCACTTTGAAGATTTTTCTTTTTTTTTTTTCTTTTTTTTTATTATACTTTAAGTTTTAGGGTACATGTGCACATTGTGCAGGTTAGTTACATATGTATACATGTGCCATGCTGGTGCGCTGCACCCACTAACTCGTCATCTAGCATTAGGTATATCTCCCAATGCTATCCCTCCCCCCTCCCCCCACCCCACCACAGTCCCCAGAGTGTGATATTCCCCTTCCTGTGTCCATGTGATCTCATTGTTCAATTCCCACCTATGAGTGAGAATATGTGGTGTTTGGTTTTTTGTTCTTGAGATAGTTTACTGAGAATGATGGTTTCCAGTTTCATCCATGTCCCTACAAAGGACATGAACTCATCATTTTTTATGGCTGCATAGTATTCCATGGTGTATATGTGCCACATTTTCTTAATCCAGTCTATCGTTGTTGGACGTTTGGGTTGGTTCCAAGTCTTTGCTATTGTGAATAATGCCGCAATAAACATACGTGTGCATGTGTCTTTATAGCAGCATGATTTATAGTCCTTTGGGTATATACCCAGTAATGGGATGGCTGAGTCAAATGGTATTTCTAGTTCTAGATCCCTGAGGAATCGCCACACTGACTTCCACAATGGTTGAACTAGTTTACAGTCCCACCAACAGTGTAAAAGTGTTCCTATTTCTCCACATCCTCTCCAGCACCTGTTGTTTCCTGACTTTTTAATGATTGCCATTCTAACTGGTGTGAGATGATATCTCATAGTGGTTTTGATTTGCATTTCTCTGATGGCCAGTGATGATGAGCATTTTTTCATGTGTTTTTTGGCTGCATAAATGTCTTCTTTTGAGAAGTGTCTGTTCATGTCCTTTGCCCACTTTTTGATGGGGTTGTTTGTTTTTTTCTTGTAAATTTGTTTGAGTTCATTGTAGATTCTGGATGTTAGCCCTTTGTCAGATGAGTAGGTTGTGAAAATTTTCTCCCATGTTGTAGGTTGCCTGTTCACTCTGATGGTAGTTTCTTTTGCTGTGCAGAAGCTCTTTAGTTTAATTAGATCCCATTTGTCAATTTTGTCTTTTGTTGCCATTGCTTTTGGTGTTTTGGACATGAAGTCCTTGCCCACGCCTAAGTGGTATTGAGTATCTTAAACATGGCTCCTTCCCTTTATCCTCAAAATGATCCTTCTGAAGAAATTATACATACATATATTTTCTGTCAGAATGGAAACATATTGTTCTACGGAGCATGTGAAAAAAAATAGCTTTCCTTACAGAAGATGATGAGCAACAGAATGAATTGCACACCTTTTTCTCAGCAGTAGATTCAATCTTTTCTTCTTCTTCTTATGAAACAAATATACATTGAAAACAGGTAGACATAGGTGAATTGTCCAAACATTGAAAAGTACACAGGAGAACAGTATGACCATAGCTTTCTTTAGAAAATATTCACTACTTGAGCAAACAAGATTATAGAGAAAAGCCTTCTTAATATCAATATGAGTTATGTGAATTAACATCCTTATAACTTGGAATATCGATGAGATTTTTCTTTTGTCTCCTCTGGGAAATAAACAATTCAGATGAACCTCAAATATCTCAGCAGTATCATGGGATTCACACAATGAATACACCTTAAACAAAAAATAAAGTTATGTCCTTATATATTTCACAAACTTGAGTTTCAGGGCTTACAATGAAGGTTTTTTGCTTGAATGTCTGTGAATATGTATGACGTGATGTAGGTTTTTATATACCAGCACTCATTCAGAAAATATTTTGTTATATTTGTTCATTAAAATCAACTGTGCCATAGTCCGCGTAAATTGATTGCTGTATATACAACCTCAGTCACAAGTTTACTTGATATGTTTAAATCAATGAGTTAATTTAAAAAAATCACACACATGCCTATATTATTTCAGTGCTAAACTCTAGCTAAGCCTCATTTTTCACAAGTAAAGATATATTTAAGGACAACATGGGTGAGTTGAATCTTATTATAAATGCCAAATGGAAATTTTCTATTTTTAAAATCTCTGTGACTAAATAATTTTATAATAATAATTATTCCCATTGGAAAATTTGAAACTTAAATTTTCATGTATTGGATTTCATTAAAATGATACTTTAAAAAGCAGTGGTTAGTTTTATAAAATTATAAAGGGTTATTTTCTTGTCCTTATAAGATTATAAATTCACAAAATTGCTTGTTATATTTTCTTTTTTGTTATAGAAGTTGTTTATCAAAACAAAAACAGATAATATTCACCATGGGGTTGGAGGGAACAGATTAAAACCTAGATATTTTGAAATATGCTAGAGATCTGTATTTTAGAAAATTGTATTCTATAGAAATGATTGTGTACCTCTTTAAATACTGGAACATTTAAAATATCACTTTAGTTGCAGATATTTCTAAAACATATATATTTCCTATCCACTTAAGCAGTTTGTTAAACAAGGGACCATGGTGTATGAAAGAAGCACTAATCCAGATTCAGAGGAGCAGGATCCTAGTTTTAGGTCTCCCACAGATAAGCTATGTGATCTTGGGCAAGTTATTTCTCTTTGGGTTTCAGTTTCATTATCTGTATATAAGGGGGCTGAACTAGATGAAATAAATATGAGACCTATTTTTTAGAAAGTGCTTTCTTTTTCTTTCTTTCTTTTTTTCTTTTTTTCAGACGGAGTCTCGCTCTTGTCACCCAGGCTGGAGTGCAGTGGCGCGATCTTGGCTCACTGCAACCTCTGTCTCCTGGGTTCAAGCAATTCTCCTATCTCAGTCTCCTGAGTAGCTGGGATTACAGGCGCCCACCACCAAACCCAGCTATGTTTTGCATTTTTAGTAGAGACGGGGTTTCACCACGTTGGCCAGGCTGGTATCGAACTCCTAGCCTCAGGTGATCCACCCACCTCGGCCTCCCAAAGTACTGGTATTAAAGGCGTGAGCCACCGCGTCCGGCCTAGAAAGTGCTTTCTAAGTACTAAAGACATTTACAAATGTTTAAATTGTTGTTGTTGTTAGCAGTAATAGTATTGTTATAATTTAAGGAGAACCAATTCTAACATTTAATATACTCTTTTCAGAGTGACTGAAGGTCATCATTATAAACATTAGTTATTGTACTGTATACATTGCTTCTTTCAGGGCTATTGAAATGTGTAAGATTGTTTGTACATACACTAAAATAGCCCCATGATTTTTTTTTTTTTTTTTTTTGAGACGGAGTCTCCCTCTAATGCCCAGGCTGGAGTGCAGTGGCGCAATCTCGGCTCACTGCAACCTCCACCTCCTGGGTTCAGGTGATTTTCCTGCCTCAGCCTCCCAAGTAGCTGGGACTACAGGCGTGTGCCACCATGCCCAGCTAGCTTTTTTGTATTTTTAGTAGAGACGGGGTTTCACCACATTGGCCGGGCTGGTCTCGAACTCCTGATCTTGTGATCCACCCACCTCGGCCTCCCAAAGTGCTGGGATTACAGGCGTGAGCCATCACACCCAGCCAAATTTTTAAAATTTATATAGTGGTTATATCTCCACCTTTTAAATTTCTCAATACTCATTTCTTGCTACAGTCAGTATGCCTGTCTGATGCAGTCTGTATTGTTTTGATGAGTTCTTTCTAATTTTTTTTTGTGGCTTTGAAAACACTAATCCAGCTAGTTAGAACAGAGTTTTAACTTAATAAAAATGAATAAAATCCTGCTTGTTTTATTTGGAAATAATATGTGTAGAAAAGGGAAATCTCCTATAGAACAGAGTGTGGGTTTTAGTTTATGAACTTTATGACATCTATTCTGTCAATTCGGGACTAATTGTGCTTGCTTTCTGGCTCCGTCAGCTGTATTTTGATAGGTGGGGTTGCTGGATATGTGAGTTCTGAATCACTGAGGTATTAGCTGGCTTTGATGCCTAAAATTTATTGGAATATAAATATCACCACACACACACACACACAAACACACACACACACACACACAGATATAGTTAAATTTCCAAAATAATTACTTGTTTCACCAAAAGCATAGTATATTCAAAACTACTTCTGTATTGCTTTTAGTTAGGTTATTTTCTATTTGTCATAATACTTTTGAAAAAAACATTTGCTCATTCTGTCCACTGCTTCCTTCCTCTTTAGGGGCACTTTGTGAAAATTCCCCTATGTATCTGAAATCCTATTTGAGATACATTAATCCATTTTTTGAAATCAGCCTGTTATTAACATAAATAATGATCATTATCCATTAAGTTTAGAGAAGCAGAGAAAACAGACTGGCTTGCCAACTCTAAGTTATGAGAATTTTCTGGAAATCTCCTATTTATACTTAGTTCTAGAGAAGGGACTACATGCAGTAACTCTGATCTATTATTTCTGGGGCCAGTCAAATGTCAACTCCATCTCTCTACTTCCTGTTCCCTGAAACACTGTAGTACAAGAGTTTAAATAATGGCAAGATTGGGTCTACAGCTTAATCACTTGATACTAATTAGAGCTGGGTTCTAGTCTTAGCTCTGCTCTTTCTTAACTGTGTGATCTTGAGCAAGACAATTTACCACTCTGAAGCTGTCTTCTCATCTGCTATACCATGGTAATAATATCTGCCTTTTCTGCTGCATGAGACTGTTGTGAAGATCCAGTAAGAAATGAAGATGATAATTCTTTTAAAATCATAATGACTATTTAAGTATGAGGACACATAAAGAGCATATAGTATTAAGAATGAAATCAGGGAGGGGAGATAAAGTGCCCTCCTCAACTCATAGCAACACAAAGGATATTAATAAATATTTAAACACCTTATTTGTGCCATAGAAAATAATGAAGGCTTGAAGTGGCACTCAGGGTCAAGACAACACTAACTGAGGCCCCTTGAAGAGAACAGAAAGGAACCATTTAACTGGGCCCCTACCATCAGTTAGTTAGGTCCAGTTTTCCAGTATAGTGAGTTATGCTTAGGGCCAAGGATCTCTGAAAAATTCAAATATCAGAGATTGACCATAGCCTTAGGGAGACAATGGAGATCCTATATTGTATAGGCAGTGTCCCCTATAAATATATTCCATAGATGGGAAGCCAGATCTTTAGAACTTTGGGAAGGAATGAATTTGAGACAAATCTAAAAGAACTTTACAATTGCAAAGGAAACAGCTGAGGGCAGGAATAGGTTACCTAGCGGTATTGTTTGGTCATGTATAGATTTGCTGAGGGGCCGTTAAGGGTTCAAAGTACTTTCTTCATTCAATGCAGTTCCTACAATCCCTGGTCTGGTTAATTATGTCGAATAACCAAACCTGCATAAATATAAAGTAGGAAAAACTCAAAGTCTCTTGAAAAATCATTAAACATACACATTTCTGGCTCTGTTCATACTGTTGCCCTGACATGCTTGCCTTTACCCCTCCTCTCTGTCTATGTAGTTTTACAAATCATTTATGATTCAGCTTAAATTCTATTTCCCTGTGAAACCATATTTTCTCTCCCAGACTCTAAAGTCCATGAGGGCACCCACAATTTATTGTACTATATGACATATTGAATTTGAATCTAGTTTCTTACAGGGAAAATAAGAATTTGGTAGTTTATCTTACTGGAATGATTAGGGCCTGCATATTTCTCTCTCTACGGAAGAAACAGAGTGACCATATAATTAGTCTAGCTCTCCCAGTGTCATACAAATGGTAGGTGCTCAATGAATGCCTGTTGAGTGGCTTAAAAGAAAATACATAGTGATTGGTTAGGTGACCAAAAGACTCATCCTTATAAAGCTGACATCAATAAATATCGCAAGGTTTATGCATTAATTCCCTCTGTCTTTAATTACTATGACAACCACCAAGAGCTATGGGCCTTAAAAGAGATTCTTACAACTAATATCTGTCATTACAGTCACTGTATTTTGGCCTATTCACTGAATTTGTTGAATATAAATAAGACCAATGTCTGGCTGGCTCTCAGTTTCCTAAGTAACCATACTACAGTACACTCTGACTTTTGTAGTTATGTAAAATGTCTAAGCTGTGCTTTAAAGTTGTTTCAGGATGGTTACTTCTTTTTTGCTTTGATTGTGGTTGTTGCTACTAACAATGAATAATTTATACATTCTTTTATTCATAGGAAAGTGGTGGTATTAAGGGGTGGGTGAAGAATAAAGACAATTGTTACAGTATAAGTTATTCTTTCCCTCTTTAATCTATTTTCCCAGTTCATTCTTTTATTGCCAGTGAATTCAATAAAGTGTTGATAAAATCAAGACCTGTGTGAATTTCATCTGAGTTGTTTGCAGTACCATCTTTCTATATCTTTTCTATTCGCCAGGACCTGCTTCTGTTCTTGCATCTACTCCAGCTTGCCATTCGGAGGTTCTAGCTCACTGTTCTGAGGTCACTCTGTCTCTTCTGGATCATTCTTCCCCTTGGTTGGTGGTAGTTTCCTGGCTAGGCCCTCACTGGACTTCTGTGGGTTTGTCTCACCTGGGGAGCAACAAGAAAGTTATTGTTCTAATCACATTCTAGGCTCCAACATTTGTGACTTTGGGTTAATAGAAGAACAACCATGAGAAGGAAGAGAAGCCCACAAAAGCAACACATACAGCCTAGGACCAAAATGGGAATCAGCATACAATGAAAACTTGACATTTTTATTGGTTATTGGTGTGGTAGCTTATAGGCTGATTGCATGTGGCTTCAAATGGCATTTAGTATCACCTTTCATTTCCTTAGCTCAGCATGCCTCCTTTGGCATCCAATTAAAATGGCAAAAACAAAACAAAACCAACCAACCAACAAGAAAACAAACAAACAAACAAAAAGAGCAGTAACAGAGTACTTGGCCTGGAAATTTGTCTAACCGCAGATTGCTTTACCAAACCACTGCTGTCATCCATTTCTCTATTTCAGCCAAATTAGATTTTTCACTCTCCTCTAGGCATCTCTTGGGTTTTTCCATCTCTGTGACCCCTGCCCCCTCTTCTCAGAATCTACTCACTGCTCCTCAGCCTATTTTTTTTTTTATTTTTATTTTATTTATTTATTTATTTAGAGTTGGAGTCTCGCTCTGTCGCCCAGGCTGGAGGGCAGTGGAGCGATCTCGGCTCACTGCAAGCTCTGCCTCCCGGGTTCACGCCATTCTCCTGCCTCAGCCTCCCAAGTAGCTCCTCAGCCTATTTTAAACCCAACACCTTTCACCGTAGGTCCAATCTAATCTAGAGATGTTTCCCTATTCTCATTACTCTTGGTGATGACTTTTTCTTTTGTGCTCCTATAATACCACTGGCTGTGCCACACTGATCATACTTAGCATAACTGGCTTAGAATCTAGATTTGGAAGGACTCTTAGAAATTGGCTCTATATAACAAAAGGTGAAGGATGGAGATTTAGTTTAAAAGAGTCAGGGAAATGTGGGGAGTTCCCTAGAACATCTGACTTGATACTGTATTGGCAAGATTGAGAAAATGCTGCTTGTTGATATTATATACTATAATATTATACACTATAATATTATACATAATATTATATTATATAAAATATATAATAAGCAGAATTATATTATTATACATTATATAATAAATATTATATATAATTATGTATTTGTTGATGTTAGGTATGTGTTGATATTAACCTCTTTAAGCAGCAGGACCTGATGGAGATAGGGAGAGCTACTACCCTCCCATACCATTCCTTGATGTAGCAGTCATCAAATCCCCTTATTTCAGAGAAGGAAACAAAGCCAAAGCATTGCCAGAATGACATAGTTAGTGATCCCATAAGTTGTATTAGAATAAGTTGTATTAGAATAGGGACTCAGATGCAGATACCCTGATTCCCATGATTCCCATTCCTGTTCTCTTTCCACTACCTTATGTTGCCTTTTGGGTTATTAATTTATGCATATGTTATTTTTGTTTTATTACCAAAACTGAGTCTCTTAGGGGCAAGGACTGAATCATATTCATCGCTGTTTCTCACAACATAGTTTAGCACAGGACTTGGGCATCAGGAAAACAATGTACAAATAATTATTGATTGGTAGATTTATTTTGTAGGCCTTTCGTTTATATATTTTCTTGATAATTATTCAACTTCTATTAAATTAAATCATAATAATGTTTCAGGCAGCAAAATTAAGTGATCTCCGCTATATCTATACCAACATTCTAAAGCAGAGTGTGGCAATTACTCTCTGTGAAACCTTGGGCAAGTCACAGTCCCTCTCTGGGGCTTGGTTTCCTTATTTTTAAAACCATGAGGGTGTAATACATGATTTCTAAGCTCCTTTTAATTCTAACATTCCAATGAGGCTAATTTATAGAGTTTTATTTATTTATTTTTAAATATCATTAGCACAAGAATACTTTACAGGAGCAGAGTATGGCACAATAATTACTATGTTAACAAGATGCAATCCCCAAAGTTCAAACTAGATCAGTTTTCTTTCTTTCTTTCTTTTCCTTCCTTCCTTCCTTCCTTCCTTCCTTCCTTCCTTCCTTCCTTCCTTCCTTCCTCCCTTCCTTCTTTCCTTCCTTCCTTCCTTCCTTTGTTTTGTTTTTAAACTTGATTCACGTCAACTCTCTGTTTTTGGCCACCAAGTCCAATTTTGAATGTTAGTCAAACATCAAATTTATAAACTGAGTCAAATCAAGATACAAATTTGAAGACAAAATGAGATGAATCAAACCTCACTCTGTCAAACAAATTGATTTCCCTTTTTCACTGTTAACTTTATGTCCCAACAATGAGGAATTATTTATTTCTATATTTTCCTACCAATGCAGTCCCAAAGAAGGCTGTAGGCATTAGAGTTGGGCAACCCCGGTTTTAAATGTCAGCCGCACCATTAACTATTTGACTTTGGGTGAATTACTTGATCTTTCAAAATTTTGGTTTCCTCACTGGGAATGGAAACTAAAAATTCTTACTTTGCAAGATTGTCATGAGAATGAAGAGAAAATATACATGAAAACTCTTAGTACAACATATGGAACTTAGGTGTGCAAGACATCCTAATGATGGCAATCTTTGTCATGTGTAATTGGTATTAGTAAGGAACAGGTTTTTATATTTCACTCTTTTTTCTTTTTTTTTTTTTTGAGACAATGTCTCACTCTGTTGCCCGGGCTGGAGTGCAGTGGTGTGATCTTGGCTCACTGCAACCTTTGCCTCCAGGGTTCAAGCAAATCTCCTGACTAAGCCTCTTGAGTAGCTGGGATTACAGGCACCCGCCACCACACTCAGCTAATGTTTGTATTTTTAGTAGGGATGGGGTTTCACCATGTTGGCCAGGCTGGTCTCAAACTCCTGCCCTCAAATAATTCACCTGCCTAGGCCTCCCAAATTGCTGAGATTACAGGCATGAGCCAGCATGCCAGGACTATATTGCACTCTTTTTATGTGCTTCTAATACTTCATTTCATTTATCTGTAGTTACTTTTGCAGTTTGGATATGAGAAAGGTGAAAGAACATGAAATAACCTCCTCCCTTTGATATCCTTATCTCCATACAGCCTACCAATTCAGGTTGAAGAACTACATGAGAAAAAGATGTTAGGAGGGATGTTTAGCTTTGGCTCAAAATGAAATAGAAACATGAGAGCAAGCTGTAAGCATTTAAAATAATTTGTATGAGCTGGCTCCCAGCACATGCAGGCTCTTCATCCCTATGCATAAAAACTGAATTATCAATATCTAATAATAGATGCTGATTCATGGACACATTTCATCTTAGTCATATATAAATAAGCCCTGGGTGAGACAACTATTTCCATGAGAATTGGAACTTTCTCTCATCTAAATTTCTGAACTTTCTACCATTTGTCTTCATATTCATTTCTTGATTTGACTCGGTTTATAAATGTGATATTTCACACTCAAATTGAACTTAGTGGCCAAAGACAGAGACCTGGCATGAATCAGTTTTAAGAACAAGAAAGAGAGGGGGAGAGAGAGAGAGATAAAAGAAGAAAGGAATGGGGAAAAAAGGAAGGGAAGAAGAAAAGAAAGTCACAAAGTCACTTGAACAAGTAAGTCATAAAGTTGTAGAAAGAAACCAATTTACCAGAGCTCCCCACACAGTAACTTTAAGCACAAGCTCAAAGTTGCCCTGAACCAGCAAAATGGTAGTAATTATTCTAATGAGAACTCAGATTGTTTTCAGTGTTCCAGGACTGGGTTCTGCCCTGTTTCTGTTTCCTCTCTGGCCCTGAATCTGTTGCTAATAGACATGCTGGCAACTGGATTTGCTGATAATTATGAAACAAAGTGCTGCTACTGTAGAGGAAAGAGCACTAGCCTGGGAGCTAAAAGACCCAAGATTTAGTCTACGCTCTTGCGCTCATTTCCTGGAATGTGACACAAATTATTAGTCCTTTCTGGACCTCCATTTCCTTTTCTGCCAAATAAGGGACTTTCTATTTCTGCCATGCAGTGGCTTAAAAACAGAATATCATACTTTCTTATCAAACTCCAGGCACTCTGATGCAAGTGTGTGGGGTGAGAAAACAGTAAGGTACGGAAGTCTTGGGGTAGAGGAGTGAGGGCTACAGAAGGTTCAGATTTCAAAGAAGCAAAGATTAAAGAATGATAGATTTTAAACCTGCTAACACTGCAACCAGGCCCTCTTATTCATCCTCTGCTTATCTGGATCCATGTAGACCATAAGAAGCAGTACCCTGGCGGGGGGAGAGCTAAGGAGGAATGAACAGGCAACAGAACAAAGTTCATTCAAACTGAGAAGTAAGAAATGCCTGCCCTCTCCCTCTTCTCTTGCTAGAAAGTTCTATTGAAACTGGCTTCAAAACACTAATAAAAAAGGTAGGTTGCAAATCAATCTGCACATTACAATTTCTTTTTTTATGTAAGTAATGGGAAGAAAACACCCCAAAATTATAATAGTGGTTACCTCAGAGCAAAAATAATTTGTGTGCTTTTATAAAGTTTCCAATTTTTTTCACAATAACCCCCTTATGAACTCCTCACTCCACTCTTGATCCCCAAATCCGATTCATCATAGAGATCCTAGAATATCTTTTTCTAAAAGTATGTATCAGGTCATGTGAATCTCTTGCTTAGAAGCCACCAGTTGATTCCTATCACACTTATAACACAAGCCAAAGTCTTTACTGCAGACAAGACTCTCCATGATTATTTGCCATAAGACTACCTCTAGGAACTTATTCCCTATCACCCTTTCTTCAGCTATTCTTTAAATTCCTGAAGCCCACTCCCACCTTAAAGCCCTTCTACTTACTCTTCTGCTTCCTGGTATGTTCTTCCTACAAGTTTTCACATGATTAATTTATTGTTATTCTCATTCTCAATTTCAAAGTGACATAAGCAAAGAGGTTTTCCTTGATTCCCTTGTTTACATTAGTCCCTCACAGAAGCCTGTACTGTTCCTACATACCATTTGAATAATTTGTCATTGCAATCAAACATACTTTTTTTGTTTTGCTATTTCACACTGATCTGCAAGATCCTTGAGGATAGGGACCATGTCCCTCTTGCTCACCACTTAGCACTGGAGAGTGTTTAACACCATTCATGAAACATATTAGGTGCTCAATGTTAGTTGAATGAATGATTCAATCAGTCAACATATATTACATTTGTAAGAAAGAAGAAAAGACAGAGGGCACATTTATGGTGATAATTCCACCTCAATAGTATGTCCTTGGTGGTGTGTGTCCCCAATATAAATGACCATTTCCAAAAAGAAACTGGTTCTAGAAAACACACTTTATTCCTTAACAGTGTGAGTGTTATATTTTTGTGCATACCCAGTGTCTAGGTCCTCTGAAAACTTGCTGATGAATTCATAAATACTAAACACCTATTCTGCCTCATAGGTCAGCCCCTTACCCAGGAATAATGTTCTAAGCTTTCATTAGAAAGCAGAAACTTCCTTCACTTTCTAACAAAATGAATAAATTAGCTAGGAAGGACTTAGTTAAGAACATTTTGGTCTAGCCTCATCTATTATTTTATGTTATGATAAATGGCAAAGAGGTTGCAATGCCAGTAAGTTGGTTTCAGAAGAACTACAACATCATACTATTTACTTTCACTTTACACTCAAAGCCACACTTGAAAGAAAATTAATTATTTGAATTCGATGATAAAGGGCATGGAATCAACTTAAGTGCCTATCAATGATAGGCTGGATAAGGAAAATGTGGTACATATACACCATTGAATACTATGCACCCATAAAAAAGAATGAGATCATGTCCTTTGCAGTGACCTGGATGGAGCTGGAGTCCATCATCCTTAGCACACTAATGCAGGAACAGAAAACCAAATACGACATGTTCTCACTTATAAGTGAGAGCTAAATGATGACAAGACATGGACACATAGAGGGGAACAACACACAATAGGGTCTGTCAGGAAAAAATAACTAATGGGTACTAGGCTTAATACTTGGGTGATGAAATAATCTGTACAACAAACCCCATGACACAAGTTTACCTATTTAACAAACCTGCACATGTATCCGTGAACTTAAAATAAATGCTTAAAAAATGTCTCTTATGAAAGCGTCTCTCTGATGGACAATGTAATCATTAATATTTACACACTTAAATGGTGGGAAATATATATTTGATAGGTCTGGAGCCAACAAGAGTAAGATTCACAATCAGCTGCCACTATGGAAAACATGGATATCGTGACCCATAAGAGCTACAGCTTAATCTGATTCCTGCAAATGACACTTGCCTCTATTAAGGACAAGGCGACATACAAATGGCCAACAAGCATATGAAAAAGTGCTCAACATCACTAATCATCAGAGAAATGCTAATTAAAACCATAATGAGATATCCTCTTACATGAGTCAGAAGGGCTATCATTAAAAAGACAAAAAGAAAACCAGATGTTGGCAAAGATGTCAAGAAAAAGGCAACTCTCATACACTGCTGATGGGAATGTAAATTAGTACAACCTTCATGAAAACAGTGTCAAGTTTTCTCAAAGAATTAACAATAGAAATTCCGTTTAATCCAGCAATCCCTCTACTGGGTATCCACCCAAAGGAAAAGAAATGCTAAAATGACGTCTGCACTCATGTTTATCACAGCACTATTCACAATAGCAAAGATATAGGACCAACCCATGATTGGATAAAATATGGTACACACACACACACACACACACACACACACACACACACACAGGAATACTATTCAGCCTTAAAAAAGAATGATTTCATGTTTTTTTGCAACAACGTGGATGAAAATGGAGGCCATCACCTTAAGTGAAACAACTCAGACACAGAAAAATACAACATGTTTTCACTTATAAGTGGAAGCTACACAATGTGTACACATGGACATAGAGTGTGGAATAATAGAAAATGAAGACTCAGAAGGGTGGGACAGAGACGGATGATGAGAAATTACTTAATGGATTCAATGTACATTATCTGGCTGGTGGATACCCTAAAAGACCAGACTTCACCACTATGCAATCTATTTATGAAACAAAATCACACTTGTACCCTATAAATGTATACAAAAAATTTTCTTAAAAAAGAACAGAAGCAATTCCTTTTTTTGGAGGCTTTCCAAACAAGAAAGGCTTTTCCAAAAAGGAAAGGCAGGGTTTGTCAGCAAAAATACTCTAGTAGGTAATGTTTTTCTTTCACAGCACCCTCCTCTGTTCTTGTAATTGAGGGACTTCCATTTTAATTTAGGTCAGCACTCTCCGAGTTATAGAGAGGTTGTCATTTGAGGAATTAATTATAGGGCAGGGTAGATAGGGAGGGTTGCTGGGAAACTGTCTCTCATGTTCCTAAGTTTCCTGTTATTAATCTAAATTAATTTATTACTTAATGTGGTGATGAGCACTCTGGTAGTTACCTTTAAAGTTTAATCTTGCTTTATACTCACAATAGATTTCAAGATAAAGAACTGGAGTTCAGGGACAGTAAGTGACATGCCTACTGTCACACAGAAAATAATCGGTAAAGCTAGAGTATAAAATTAAGCTTGTTAACATTAGATGCTGTGGTACCATGAAAATTACTCTGCTAAAGAGGCTTCCAGTGGCCCTAATATAAGCAGACATTGGGAGCTCCATTTGAGTATTACTCTGGTGCATTGCTGTCCTTAAATAAAGAATGAATATAGACACCTGTTGCACATAGGAAGTAAAAGAGGTAAGTATGGACCCTTCTCTCCCTGTCTTCAGAAGAAAAAAAAAAGAAAAGATATGCTGTTTTTTAAATATCAACATGTATAACAAATTGGTCCCTTGGACAATACTCATTATAGCATTTCTTTTACATTTTGTAATTGTTAATTCTCTGTGTCCACTTGACTGGGCCAAGGGTTGCCCAGATTCAACATTATTTTGAGGTGTGTCTGTGAGGGTGCTTCTGAGTGCCATTAATATTTGAACCAATGGACTCAGCAAAGTAGATTGCCCTCCCCAGAATATATATTGGTGGGGAGCATCCAATCCATTGAAGGCCTGAATAGTATGAAAGATGAAGGAAGGAGGAATTAACCCCTTTTGCTTCCTGCCTGCCTGCTTGAAGTGTGACATCATTCTTCTCCTGCTCTTGGACTGAAAGTTAAACCATCAGCTCTCTTGGATCTCAGGGCTTAGGACTTGGATTGAATCACGCCACTTGCTTTCTTGGGTCTCCAGCTTGTAGATGGCAGATTATGAGTCTTCTCAGTCTCATTGTGTGAGCCGTTACCTCATAATAAATTTCTTCCTATGTAAATCTCTTCCTATTGAGGTAGGAGGCAGGACTTTGGTCCAGAGGTGGGACTCAGACACTGGACCAAATTGAGGACTAGCTAAAACAGGAACAAGGCAGAAGCAGCTTTCCATAAGATATGCCCACCAGTGCTCCATGTTAGTTTATTATTGCTATGGCAACACCTGGGAGTTACTGTGATGGCAACACTCAGGAGTCACTGCACCTTTCCATGGCAATGACTCAATAACCCAAAAGTTTCTACCCGTTCTTAGACATTTCTGCATTAATCACACCTTAATCTACATGTACTTTAAAGTGGCCATAAGTATAAATGCAAAACTTCCCTGAGCTGTTACTATCAACACACTGCCTGTGGGGTAGCCCTGCTCTGTAGAAGTCACAGAGCAGTAACACTGCTGGAACTGTACCACCACCAGAGATGTAACACTGCTGCATCAGTAAAGTTGTTTTCTTCTACCTCTCTCTTGTCCCTGAATTCTTTCCTGAGCAAAGCCAAGAATCCTTGAGAGCTAAGCCCTACTTTGGGGCTACCCTGCCCTGCATCACTATTGGTTCTGCTCCTCTGGAGAACTCTGACTAATACACATTCTATGACCAGCTTTCATGTAAAATGCATACTACAACTCCCTCTATGTTTGCCAGAAAAGTTCATTTGTTGACTAGTACAGAAGCAGGCTTTATGTTCATAGTGTTTGAATCACAATATGAATTCCACAGTGCCATGGAGCACAAGTTTTAACATATTATTTTGTTTTTAAATTCCCCTGTAGTAATGTTAGTTTTGATATAACACCTGCCCATATGAAAGAAATTCCTGAATGGGGGTGATTTACAATTAATTGTAGGTCAGCATTACATCACCTATGAGTGTCATCTAAAGATTCATTTTTCTTACCTCTGTTAGTCAAAGTGGTTCTTAACTCTGGCTGTGCATTTAGAATTGCATGGTGAAATGATTTTTAAAAAAATGAGGCTTAGAATTCCCCACCCAGGCATTTGATTTAAATTGCCTTGGGTATAGCCCGAGAATACATTTCTCTTTAATTGATGCAAAAATTAAATGATATAAAACTAATCATTGTAATATGTGCAATTCAGTGGCATTTAGTGTATTTATAATGTTGTACACCCATCACCTCTATTTCCAAAATATTTTCATTACCACAAATGAAAACCCAATCATTAAGCAGTCACTCTGCATTCCTTCCTCTCCACAATCCTAGCAACCACCAATTTGCTTTGTCTGTATGGATTTACCTATTCTGGATATTTTATATAAATGGAATTAAACAATATGTGACCTTTGGTGTCTGGATGCATTTATTCAGCATAATGTTTTTGATATGCATCTATGTTGTAGCATTTATCATCCCTTCATTACATTTTATGTTCAAATGATATTTTATTGTATGGATATGCCACAATTATTTTACCTATTCATCAGTTGACAGACGTTTGGATTGTGAATGTGTAGTTATGGACATTTATGTTGTTTGAGAACACCTGTTTCCCATTTTTAGGATATATATCTAAAATTGTAATTGCTGGGTCATATAGAATTCTATGTTAAACTTTTGAGGAACAGCAAGATTATTTTTCAAAGTGGTTGCACCATTTTACATTCCTACCAGCAATCTATGAGGGTCTCAAGTTCTCCACATTCTACACAACACTTGCTATTTTCCTTTCTAAAAAAAATATAGTCATCCCAGTGGATGTAAAGTGATTTCTCATTGTGGTTTTAGTTTGCATTTCTTTGATGGCTAATGACTCTGAACACCATTTTGTGTGTTTAGTGACCATTTATGTCTTCTTTTGTGAGGTGTCTATTCAGACGTTTTGACCATTTTTTAACTGGGTTGTTTCTTTATTATTGAATTGTAAAAGTGCTTTATATATTCTAGATAAAATCCCTTATCAGATATAATCTACAACCTCTTTATCCCATTCTGTAGATGTTTTTCACTTTCTTGATAGTGCTATTTGATTCACTTAATTTTGATTAAGTCCAATTTATCTATTTTAATTTTATTTTGTGTGTTTTGGGCATCATATAAAGAATCCATTGCTAAATCCAAGTTCATGGAGGTTTATCTTATGTTTTCTTCCAGTAGAACTTAATTCTTATATTTAGGTCTTTGATCAATTTCAAGCTAAATTTTGTATATTGTAAATTTTGTATACCTTTTGTATATTTTGTGTGCCACTACCACACTGTTTTGATTACTGTAGAGTTGTAGTCAGTTTGAACTGTAAGTTCTCCAAATTTGTTCTTCTTCCTTCAGATTGTGTTGGCTATTTGTAGATCTATGCAATTCCATATGAATTTTAAAATCACATTTTCTATTTCTGTGAAAAATATTTAGTATTTTGATTAGGATTGCAATGAATCAGTAGATTGCTTTGGAGAGTATTGCCATCTTAACAATATTAATTCTTCCAATTCGTGAACATGGGATGCCTTTTCCAAAGTGGCTGCACAATTTTACATCCCTAACAGCAATCTATGAGGGTTTTAATTTTCTCCAAATCCTACTCAACACTTGTTATTTTAGGTCTTCTTTAATTTATTCTAGCAGTGTTTTCTAGTTTTCAATGTACAAGCCTTGCAGATCATTGGTTGAGTTTATTACTAGGTATTTTTAATGATAATGTAAGTGGTATTTTTTATTTCATTTTTAGATTGTTCATTGCTATTGTGTAGAATTGCAACTGATTTTGTCACGTTGATCTTGTATCCTGAAACATTGCTTGTTTGTTGCTCTAATCAGTTTCCTTGTGGATTCTTCAAGGTTTTTCTTATGTAAGATCAAGTCATCAGAGAATAAATAAAATTTTACTTAATCCTTTCTAATATGGATGTATTTTATTTATTTTCTTGCCTAATTTCTCTCACTAGAACCTCAAATACAATGCTGAACAGAAATGGTGAAAGCAGGCATACTTACCTTGTGTCAGATCTTTCACTTTTTAACTATTAATATAATGTTAGCTGGTTTTTTTTTTGTTTTTTTTTTTTGAGACAGAGTCTCGCTCTGTCACCCATGCTGGAGTGCAGTGGTGCGATCTAGGCAGGCTCACTGCAAGCTCTGCCTCCCCAGGTTCACGCCATTCTCCTGCCTCAGCCTCCTGTGTATCTGGGACTACAGGCGCCCGCCACCATGCCCAGCTAATTTTTTTGTATTTTTAGTAGAGACGGGGTTTCACTGTGTTAGCCAGGATGGTCTCGATCTCCTGACCTCGTGACCCGCCGGCCTCGGCTTCCCAAAGTGCTGGGATTACAAGCGTGAGCCACCGCACCTGGCCTGGGCTTTTTTTTGTTTGTTTGTTTGTTTTATAAACACCCTTTTCCATGTTGAGGAACTACCATTCTAGTGCTAATTTGTTGAGTGTTTTTATCATGAAAGAGTGTTGGGTTTTCCCAAATGCTTTTTCTCACTCTATTGTGATCATGCTTTGTTTTCCCCTTCATTCTGTTAATGTGGTGTATCACATCAATTGATTTTCATATGTTGAACAAATCTTGCATTCCTGGAATAAATTTGACTGGTCAGGACATATAATTATTTGAAAATATTAGTAGATTCAATTCATTAGAATTTGGTTGAAGATTTTTGCATTTATTGCAAAGGAACCAAAGGATATTTGTCTATAATTTTGTTGTGATTTCTGTATCTGGTTTTTTTAATCCACATAATGATGACCTCATAGAATGAGTTAGGAAGTGTTTTTTGTACTTTTATTTTTTGGAAGGGGTTGAGAAGCATTGGTGTTCATTAAAAACTTGTTAGAATTCACAAGTAAAGCTATCTGGTCTTGTTTCTTTTTTTCCTTCCTTCTCCTTTCCGTCTCCTTGCCTTCTCCTTTCCTTCTTTTTTTCCTTTTCCTTTCCTTCTCCTTCTCTTCTCCTTCCCTTCCCTTTCCTTTCTCCTTTCCTTTCCTTTCCTTTCCTTTTTTCCAGAATTTTTGATTAATGATTTTATTTCTTTACTTTTTATAGGTCTGTTATGTTCTATTTCTTCTTGAGTTAGTTTTGATAGTTTGTGTGTTTCTAAACATTTGTTTTATCTATGTCATCAAATTAATTGGTGTACAAGTGCTCATAGTATAGTATTTTCTTAAAATCTTTTTTTCTCTAAAAATTGTATTTCTGTGATTATTTCTTCTAGTGTGACTATTTGACTGCCTTCTTATTTTTGCCTTGCATTGTATTTTTTTTATTTTTGTTTTATTCTGATTTTTGTAGTACTTACCCTGGGGATTATAAATAACATTTTAATCTTGTAACACTGAATTTTAAAGTAATACTAGCTTGGTTTCAATAGTATAGGAGAGACTTATCTTTGACATAATCAGAAAAATATGAAAGAAAATTGAGAAGGATATACTTTCCTGACTTCGTGATTCAATTTACTTTTTTCTGAGGTTATGTCACACCTATTTTACATTTTTGATAATACTTATATAATTTCTTCTATAACTTGTGTCTAGCACCAGTGTAGCATCTCTGTCTTATGAAACAGTGCCAATTGAGAGGATAATTCCTTTTGTTCCCTGGGACCAAAGTACGCTACAGTTGGGGGTGGGGAGTACTGTCTCTCACTGTTACCACGAAATCATGAACAGGATTATGCAAGTCCCATCCTACCTACAGTTTAAGTGTCAGGCTCAGTATGTTGTCTATAATAAAGCACTTAAGTTATAAGACAGTAAGTAATATTATAAACAACTAATGAGATGTAATGAAAATAAGCACTATTGATAGTACCAGCTTGCAAGGGAGCTTATTTTTGTTAAATTATGGCTTGATTGGTTCATTTTTCTGTTAGGAATTTTATCTGGAAAATAATTGTTTGTATCTCTGAACATATGTAATCAAGAATACTCCTAAGATTTATTTGAGTTTTTCATTTTCAATGTTTTAAAGGGTATCCAGATGCAAAGGCTTCAAAATTAATGCATCACTGTAAATTTTCTTCTCAATACATTCCATTAATAAAAGGACAAGAGCTTTCATTTATGAATTGTCTAATATATTCCAGACACTTTTCACACATCATTTAATTCACTTCCATAATACTTTTGAATGAAGGGTAGAAAAATGGTTGAGCCGGCAAGGCTATAGAGAAATAGGAATACTTTTACACTGTTGGTAATAGTATAAATTAGTTCAACCATTGTGGAAGACAGTGTGGCGATTCTTCAAGGATCTAGAACCAGAAATACCATTTGACCCAGCAATCCCATTACTGGGTATATACCCAAAGGATTATAAATAATTCTGCTATAAGGATACATGCACACATATGTTTATTGCTGCACTATTTACAATAGCAGAGACTTGGAACCAACCCAAATGCCCATCAATGATAGATGGAATAAAGAAAATGTGGCATATATACACCATGGAATAATATGCAGCCATAAAAAATAATGATTTCATGTCCTATCAGGGACATGGACGAAGCTGGAAGCCATCATTCTCAGCAAACTAACACAGGAACAAAACCAAACACAGCATGTTCTTACTCCTAAGCTGGAGGTGAACAATGAGAACGCATAAACACAGGGAGGGGAACATCACATACCAGGGCCTGTCAGGGGGTTAGGGGTAAGTGGAGGGAGCGCAATAGGACAAATACCTAATGCATGCGGGGCTTAAAACCTAGATGACGGGTTAATAGGTGCAGCAAACCACCATGGCACATGTATACATATGTAACAAACCTGCACATTCTGCACATGTATCCCAGAACTTAAAGTAAAATTAAAAAAAAAAAAAGCGTCCACTACACATGCTTTTTGGGTTGGAGGGACATGGTAGAAAAAAGCCAAGCTAAATAAACTATGAAGTGTTCAAAAAAAAAATCTATAATTCCTTATTGAGTCTATTCCCTCCACATATAGGAATCTATCCTCTGGATCTGACTTTTGTTGTATTTTGAGCTTAGAATTAGTCATATGATTAAAGATTAATTGTGTTTTCTTCTAGTTTATTAATTTTTTGTGTGGTAAAATACACATAACAAAATTTACCATCTTACACATTTTTAAGTGTACAATTTAGTGGTATTAAATGCATTCATAATAGTGTGTAACCATTAAAAAATTGTTGAATAGGTAATAATATTCCAATTCTGGGATTCAATTTTTTAAAAACTATAAGGTGGTTGGTATTATTATCATCCCACTTCTACTTATGGCAAGAGTGGCACTCCATGTCTATACTCTTTCCCTATAAAATATAGCTTGCCTGGGTTCTGGAACCAGACACATGTGGGCCCAAATTTTAGCTTCACTACTTTATGCTAGGATTTCCTGGCCAATTAACTAATCTAAATTTAAATTTATTCCATTGTGAAATACTTCCTCAAAAAAGTCATTTTAGTTTGAAATGAAGTTGTGTACCTATACAGTAATAGGTGGGCAATAAATGTCAGTGGCATTCCTCCTTGCCTCTGCTACTTCTAGGCAACTTTTCAGTGCAGTTAAAGCAGCTCAAATTCCATTCACATGATTTTGAGATGTGTCTTGGTCTGAGTTTCATTATTTGAATGCCCAGATGTTAGATGCTTAACGATAGAGCCCCACAATTGAGTACTTATTATATTCTCTCTGAAATGTTTCTGACTGGGAGTCGTGTCTCACTAGCTTGAAAACTACTAGAGAGCAGGACTCTTGTTTTGTGCTTCTGTTAATTTTACCTGGAGCTTGAATGCAGGGTTGTGAGTATAGCATAATTTTTAAGGGCAAGGGGGCTGTTGCCATCTTTATTGACTTTGTGATCTTACGCAAATAACGTAACATTGCTGAGTCTGTTTTCTTGTTTTAAAAAAGAGGATGATAACATAATATCCACCTTACAGATAGAATGACATGCATATGAAGTATCAAGCATAGTGACCAACACATAGAAAGTAAATGTTCAAAAAGTAGAGCTATTATTGGTATTAACATAAATTTCAGTTATTGATAAAAACATACTTGATTAATCTAATAATACTCTAAGATATTTAGAATAGCCCTATGAATGTTTTCAGGCAGAGATTTCCTTCTGGCACTAAGATCAGTGTAATCATTAAATAATTATTGCCATTCCACTTTTGTTAGTGCAATTGTTAGATAGCCACTTCCTGAATAGTGGCAAGCACAGAAATGTTTACTTTCGCATTATTCCTAGGCTCTTGTCTTCAGGATGGCCTGTGTTATTCAGTCCTCATAATTAAGTTAGTGGCAACATATGGAAGAAGTTTTGAATCAATTATTTTACTTGTTTCACATTACAAAATAATTACTCAGCTAAGCAGTGAACTTTGGTTACTATTAACAAACCGCTGCAAAAACAGGATATAACATCACTTCCCTAGGTTTAAAGCAAAAATCCCCTACCCTAGGTTTAAAGCAAAAATCCCCCACAAAAATAACTAGTACAATCAAAGGAAGTATGTGAAACAGCCACTTAAAACTCATTAGTATTTAGCTGTTAACAGAGAAAAGTTTTAGTTTTGGAATGTACTGGGTAATTAATTTACCAGAGAGCCATAGCATGATGAAGGGATAATCCAGATCACTCAAGACTATCCTAATAGGCCAAACTGCCCTATTCAAAGTGAGACTTTGACACTACTTTTGATAGAGTGGGTAAAGTGAACAGTGAGAGCAAAACAAATCCCCGCTATATACATTAAAGCTTAAAACATGCAGACCCTTGGGATAAACAAGTTTCGTGCTCTTTGGGATCTGTCACCTGGCAAGGGCCTTCTCCTTGCTTTTTACCCATTTCTAAGGCTGCATTGCTTTGCTCATCCATTTAGTTGATCAAAATGCTCTAAATGACTTTATGCAGGACTGTGGCTTCTTTGGAAGCTTACTTACTACAAACACTCTAAATAAGGATAGATAGTTCCAAGACCCAGGGGATTGATATTTGTTGGACACAGTGAAAATTTAAAAGGGACTTTGAAGGATAAAGGACAGTTATGATTTGGATGAGCAGAAAGGGCGTATCTTTCTCCATTTTACAGACTATTTTTGTATTCCTATTAGAACTAGTTGGCCACTGTGTTGAGCATACCCTCTCTGGAACTGTTTTCTACCCACAGCTCTTGCTTTACCTTGTATCCACCCTGTGAATCTGAAGAAATAAACTGAATAAATAATTTAAAATGTTATCATCTTCTAAGCCAAAAAGTCTGTAGAACTAAGCTCAACTTATGTTGAAATATAGTCATGAACACACACAAAACTCAACAAAATTGACCATTTTCTTCAAAGCAATGAATTTAATTTAATATACTTTAATCCTAGATGTGGAGCTCCTTGAAAACATTATTTACAGCACTCATGACCATCTGTATTTATATCACTTTCTTCCTCAATTGCAGCCAGAGTACTCCACTAAGCAATCTTCAACCCTGGAAGACAGATTTGAATGCAGAAAAAATCATGTCTTTAATTTTAAAATTAGCAATAGACTGAGTACTCAGAGAGACTTGATTGCCATTTAAGAAGTTGCAATGTTTTAAATTCTATTTCCCAGAGATTCAAGCCTGCAATTAGAGAACTCTGAACAATCAACTAACTGAGCTCTCTAAGAGAGAATATGAGAGGTCAGGCCAGAGTATGAAATCCAGTAAGTGCCTTAAATATAAGTTTAAAACCTTGACATTTTAAGGGTAGTATCTCAAACAGAAATTTTATGTCTGCATAATAAAGAGGAACCAAGTAAATTCCATTATAATGCACTTTCCATCAATTAATTTGGTTTTAGAAATTCAAGAAAAATTATCCTAATGGTTACAGTTACCCTGATAGAAATTCCATTTCCCCCAATGAGCCATCATAAGACTGGACGGAAAGTTTAGTAAAATAAATACAAGGTCTTTTCTCTGAGCTCCACTCTTCCATTGTAGTCCCCAAAAAACAAAAGACAACAAACCAGAACATAAGGTTGTATATCAGTTCTACTTTCTCCAGGGTGCAAAAAGCCTGGCATTTTGGGTAGGGTGAATTCTCAGTAACTAGAAGCCTGATTTTAGAAAGGTATACTTGTGTCTCTGCTCTGATACAGTCCAAGAGAAAACCATGCAAAATTATCCCAATATTTTATACTGTTATCCCTTTTTCCCCTCTCCCAATTAAACTATTATTCCACTCCTGCCCTGACCTCAGCTACATCTCTTTCCTAAGATACTAATGAATGAAAACAGCTTGCCCCCTGAAAAGAACTGTAATTTCAACATACTCAACAAATCTCTGTTAATATGTATTACGTGTAAGGTCTCCTGTTTTATTTGACTTGGGATCAAGGCTTTAAAGAAAAGCACAGATGAGTGCATATACACACACACGCACGCGCGCACACACACACACACACACACACACACACACAGAAAGTCTTACCTAGGGATATTTCAAATAGTTAATGCAGATTGAAGAGATACTTGTTGTGGGGCCTTTTTGGTAAACTTGACCACAAACTTTGGTAGTTCCGAAAGTGCTCTATATCAGAGAGATTGGAAATTCAAAATTTATGTTTCTGAGGGTTAAAGTTTTCCTCTCATCTTTCAATGTGAGGATATGTTGCAATCCCAAGATAAGCCCTTTGTTTGTATTGATAAATTGACTGGCTTCCCCAGCTGAAAAGAATTCCTCCTTTTGTCTTCCCAATTTGTATGTAGGATAGCACAGCCAATAGGCGTTAAGACAGTCCCTTTAAAATATTTTAAACAACAACAGCCGATTTTATCACTATTGGTAAACATGTTGAATACATTTACTATATGCAGGGTATAGTATGAATAATTTGCAAATTGCATTTACATCATTCACTAAGGTGAGCACCCACAACAATTCTATGGGGTGAGTGAAGCACGTCTTATCTCTATTTGACAGATGAACAAAAAATATCCAGAGAATCTCATATATTTATTCAACTTTAGAAATTAAATTAAATAAGTGGCATATATGGGACCATTAATCATTTGCATTAGAACTAATTGTACCTAGCATTTCTACAGGAGCTGGAGAGGCAAGACCCCAGAGTACATGCTTTGCTTTAAAGGAAGTCTGTACAGTTTAAGGAGGAAGGTGCTGATCTGAAGGTATATATTAGGTTTTATGCCCCAGCATGTAAATCCTCAAGTGGAATGGGAGGGCCTATGAAGACTTGCAAAAGTAAAGAAAGGGAGAAGTTCTCAGCTGTGGGAGAAATGCAGGGTGATGCATCAACGCTGGAATTTTGCAACACTGGGGCCAAATTTGCTGAGGTTGTGGCCCAATGTGGGTGATGGGAGTGAAGCATGGGAAATGTATGCTTTAGGCTCTATATACCACTGCAAAAAAATTTTTCCCAGGTGGAAAGCTCTTCTAAACAAAACCAACCCAGAGGATGCAGCTGAAAAAAAAACCAAACAAACAAACAAACAAAAAAAAACAAAGAAAAACAACTTCCAAAGATTTACTCTTAGACTTCAGAAATCTGTGGAGTTGGAAGTGACCTTAGAGGTCATCCAATCTAACACCTTCTTTTTATAGAGGAAGAAACAGGCCTAAATGGATGGAGGGAGGGGTAAATGGGTTACACAATGAGTTAGTGAGAGAGCTGTTGTCCCAGCTCAGCACTCCTTTTCTGTAGTTATTTCTATTTCACCCTGTTTAAAGACAGCTATATCTTTGTAGCAAGAAAATAGCAGTCTGAGTAGAGGCACTGTACAGTTAAAGGGAAAGAGCAATGAAAGATGCTACTGTAATTTCAGGTTTATAGGCAATCTAAAAAATATGCTTCTCCGGTTTCCCAGAAAGCCTGAAAAGTGAATGATATAGGTATGTCTGTGTGCATAGGAGATTTAACTATGGTCACAGTACAACTATCTAAGAGGAGGGTAAGAGGGCTTTGGATAACAAGGGAAACAGTGGATCATAGCTGTGGGATAACAGAAGAGTTACAAAACGTGCTTGTAATTTCACAGTTTTGGGTCAAAATTTGCAAAAGCTATATTCATCCTGGGAACGGTGAGCTGAGCATGGGAAACATATACTACTGTGGGTCTAGAGCTTCAAGGCAGAGAGGACTAGGGTCTGGGGTGGGGAATACCTTCTCAAAATGTAATAAACATCTGCTTCTGCAGTGTTTGCTATTTTCCAGTCAGATCCTTAAAAGCATTTATTTTTCTTGTAAATTGCCTCAAGGCAGGAAGCACAATGTTGATAATTTGGAGGTCCGCAAGAAAGAGTGATTTAAAGTTTATCAACGGATCCTGGGTGCAGGTATCTCTCAATGTGCTTTAGGACTCCAGTGAATCCTCTCTTCCATCAATTCTTCGACACTCTGTATCTTCATTTTGCCATTTCCCTAGTCCCGATTTCCTTCATCAGTCCTCTACTCAGGCCTGTCTTCCTCTAAAAACCTCTCGAATCCGTATTTACTTCTCAGATAATAGCTCTCGGCCCCCAAGTGGAACTTCTATTCTGTCAGAGCAGCTGATTATACTAACTTATAACATGGTTTGGATCACTGGTCAACCCTACTATACCTGCATAGCCCACTGAGATGTTTTTGCATCTTTAAACAATATTTATATTATTTTTGTCTCAAAATTATTAAAATGACATGAAATAAGTGTTCCAGAAGGCTTATTAAAACAAAGGAATGTCTATTTAAGGCAGGGGCAGACAAACTTTGTGTGTGAAGGGCCAAGGAGTAAATATTTTAAGTTTTGAAGGCCATATGATCACTGTTGCAGCTACTTGGCTCTGTCATTGAGCACAAATAACATTATAGACAACACATGCATGAATAAGTGTAGCTGTATTACAATAAAACTTTATTTATAAAAACAGGCAAGCAGTGTGAGGAGCTCAGCAGACCCTCTTTCCAAGAGTAACAATCATGTAGCTGATGAAAATTATAGAAAACAACCATTTAAATACTCTGAAAATTGATCTAAGTACCACACAGAAATCAGTGACACAATTATCCCAAAAAGTCTACTGAATCTTGTCCATAAGGGTCAGTGGCATTTGAGGTATGCACTGCTCCCATTCCCTGCCTTCCTCAGCTTCATGTTATGGAAGATTTACTCTAGGTTCTCTACTTGGGCAAGTGTGGCCAAGAAAATAACAGCTCCCTTTTTTTCCTCAGCTCTACCTGGAGGGGTGCAGGAGATAGGCTTATTTCAGGCCATAGATCCATGTTGCTTAAGCCTTATTATCAGCATATGTGGCTGAGAGGACTGAGTTTTTCCTTTCACCCAACTCACAATCATAGAGCTAGGACTTTGCCCTGGCAGTGACTGATGATACTGGAGCCTGATTGGCCCTACCCCAGTTTTCTCATGGGACAGATATTCCATACCAGAAGAGGGAAGCTGAGAAAACCCAGAGCTACCATATTTCTCCACCCCCAGCACCTACTAGTAGAGCAGTAGTGTCACTTCACAAGAAACAGACTGTTGTCTCCACCCTCAGCTCCTGTGAAATGGCACAGAAGATCTGCCCATTGAAAGAGGCAGGTCATTAAAACAGCTCTGTTTAAGGAAACCCACATTTTTGGAACAAAGAGTAAAGAACTCCAGGCCTGATGGCTTTGTCAAAAATGAGATTTGGTGAGCACAAATTAAGAGGCAGCTGGTAGCTCTGATATAAGCAAAACAACAGAACATCCAGGGGTTTAATAGAAATAACTAGGGAAAGAGACATCCAAGGTGAGCCCTCTGGGATCACAGTAAACTATAGGAGTTGGAAAGACTGTGTGCATGTACTTCTCATAAAGCATCTGTATTAGTCTGTTTTCACACTGGTATTAAAAACTTCCTTGAGGCTGAGTAATTTATAAAGGAAAGAGATTTAATTGATTTACAGGTCCACATGGCTGGAGAAACCTCTGGAAATTTACCTTCATGGAAGAAGGGGAAGTGGAAGCAGAAGCAGGCTGAAGGTGGCAGGAGAGAGAGAAGAGAAAGTGAATGGTGAAGATCCTCTTATAAAAACCATCAGATCTCATGAAAACTAACTCACTATCGCAATAAAAGCATGGTGGAAATGGCCCCTATGAGCCAATCATCTCCCTCCCCCAACACATGGAGATTACATGTCCCTTCCTCAACAAGTGGGGATTACAATTCGAGATGAGATTTGGGTGGGGACACAGAGACAAACCATGTCATTCCAACCCTGGGCCCTTCCAAATGTCATATCCTCACATTTCTAAACCAATCATGCCTTCTCAACAGTCCCCCAAAGTCTTAACTCATTTCAGCATTAACTCAAAAGTCCACAGTCCAAAGGCTTGTCTGAGACCATAAAGTCCCATCTGCCTATGACCCTGTAAAATCAAAAGCAAGCTGGTTACTTACAAGATACAATGGAGGTACAGACATTGGGTAAATGTTTCCATCCCAAATGGGAGAAATTGGCCAAAACTAAGGGGCCACAGCACAGGCCCAATGCAATTTGAAAACTCAGTGGGGCAGTCATTAAATCTTAAAGCTCTGACATGGTTTTCTTTGAGACCATGTTTCACATCCAGGTCAAGAGGTGGGCTCCCATAGTATTGGGCAGCTTGACCACTGTGGCTTTGCAGGGTACAGCCCCCTGCTCCCAGCTGCCTTCACAGGCTGGCATTGTCTGTGGCTTTTCCAGGAGCATGGTGTAAGCTCTTGGTGTATCTAACATTCTAGGGTCTGGAGGATGGTAGTCCTCATCTCACAGCTCCACTAGGTAGTTCCCCAGTAAGGACTCTGTGTGGAGGCTCCCCACATTTTCCTTCCAGACTGCCCTATCAGAGGTTCTCCATGAGGACTTCACCCCTAAAGCAGACTTCTGCCTGGACATCCAGGCATTTCCATACATCCTCTGAAATCTCATCAGAGGTTCCCAAACCTCAATTTTTGACTTCTGTGCACCTGCAGGCCCAACACCATGTGGGAGCCTCCAAGGCTTTGGGCTTGCACCCTTTGAAACTACAGCCTGAGCTGTACCTTGGCCCCTTTTAGCCATGGCTGGAACTGGAGTGGCTGAGACACAGGGCACAAAGTGCTGAGGCTGCACCACTGAAGCAATGGCCTGAGATGTATGTTAACCCCTTTTAGCCATGGCTGGTATGCAGGGCACCGAGTTCTGAGACTGTGTAAAGAAGCAGGGTCCTGGGTCTGGCCCACGAATCCATTTCTGCCTTGACCCTGTGATGGGAGGGGCTGCCACCAAAATCTGTGACATGCCCTGGAGATATTTTTCCCCTTTGTATTGAAGATTAATATTTGGCACTTCGTTACTTCTGAACATTTCTGCAGCAGGCTTAAATTTCTCCCCAGAAAATGGGTTTTTCTTTCCTATTGCATAGTCAGATTGCAACTTTTCCAGACTTTTATGTGCTGCTTTCCTTTTAAAAATAAGGTCCAATTTTTGTCAGACAAATGCACAAAAAATAAAATGAATGCACTATTTTATGTTGCTTGTTAATACAGAGAAGTGAATTCATTGGAAAATATTCCAGATAATCAGAAACTAAAATATTGAGGGGAAAAACTCAGCTACTTGTAGAATTGTATATTTTCTCTCTCACTCATTATTTTTCCCTTTCGTTTTCAAATAATTGTTGTCTTCTCAATGAATTTCATATTTTATTCCTGCTTTGAAAATTAGCTTTAGACACATTCCAAAACAATTCTGCACTTTGATAATCATTAACAAATGTTACCTGAGCCTGACGTTTCCGGCCATACAGCCAAGAGATAAATGTTTTATGAGGCTTCCCCTTTAAAAGAGACTACATTCACCCTCAGGCACCTATACCTCTGGAACTTTTCTTCTTGTACAAACCTGTGTCTTTCTTTGCATTTCAAAATGAAATGATTTATGTTGATTTAAATATTTTCTAAACATTGGTACAGCTATAGGCTTGATATAGTGATTCTCTTTTGCCCACCTCATATCCCCTAACCCTAAATCTAAAATATTTATTTGAAATGTTTCTCCACACAGCATGAAGGTGGAAAAGTACATATACTAGGAATTAGTCTTATTCACACAAATTCCCTGGTCATGTTTTGTGAACCTCAATTATGCCAGAACTGGTTTCTTCCACTAAATTGAGCTCCTAGAGCACACAGGTCATGTATTTTTTATTTTCTTCAGAGTGTGTCTGCTTTGCACAAATTAGGTGCTCAACAAAACTTGGCTCGGATAGTCCCTATAATGTATAATGTGTAATTGTAACTATAATGACATGTCAAATGTAGTACAGTTAGAAATAAAAAGTTAAATTTATAGTATTACTGTGACTTTATTTGGTATTTTATTATAATGTACTTTTCAAACAAATTCTGACAATATATGGAGGGAATATGGAAAACAAAACTTTGAGAATGCACACATGATTAAAGCATTTCATATTAAAATCTGCATCTAATTCTTCCACAGCTATTGAGGCTGATCATTTTCTAATGTCATTATTCTAATAATATGTAATAGAAATAAATCTTACAAGATATGCAAATAAGTATTTGTATATGACTTACTTATGGAAACTTGTATAGATTTTATATTGAACAGGAACTGCATATTCTTCATTTTAATTTCACTAACACTAGCTAAGTCTTTTTAATAATCTAAACAAAACTTCTAAGCTGCGAGGGGCTGCAATTCATTTTTTGATTTAATTCCAAAGTTCCTTTCAGAGTAATAAAAACATTTTCTAAGAAAAAAAAAGTTCCAATTTCAGATCATGTCTCTCAAGTTCAAAGTTACACAGATCTCTAGGGCAGGGGCAAAATGCCACCAGTCCCTTTGCTAAAACTTAGCAAGAGTGATCTTTGCTTAAGTTCCCAAGAAGTTCCTCATCCCCATCTGAGACTGCTTCAGCCTGGACTTCATTGTCCACATCATTATCTGCATTTTGGTCCAAACCATTCAACAAGTCTCCAGGAAGCTCCAAACTTTACCACATCTTCCTGTCTTCTTCTGAGTCCTCCAAACTGTTGCAACCTCCACCTCTTACCCAGTTCCAAAGCTGCTTTCACATTTTCAGGTTATCCTTATAGCACTATCTCTATCTCCAAGGTACCAATTTACTGTATTAATCCGTTTTCACTTTACTGTATTAATCTATTTTCACACTGCTATAAAGAACTCCCTGAGACTGGGTAATTTATAAAGAAAAGAGGTTTTATTGACTCGCAGTTCCACATGGCTGAGGAGGTCTCAGGAAACTTACAATCATGGTGGAAGGGAAAACAGAAGCATGCACCTTCTTCACAAGGAGGCAGGATGGAGGGAAGCGACAGCAAAGGAGGAAGAGCTCCTTATAAAACCATCAGATCTCATGAGAATTAACTCACTATCATGAAAACAGAATGGGGTAAATTGCTCCAGTTATTGAATCATCTCCCTCCCTTGACACATTGGGATTACAATTTGAGATGAGATTTGGATGGGGACACAGAGCCAAAAAATATATCATCAGAGCAGGATATAGGCCAACTTGAAAACATCCCTCAAGCCACACACTGAACAATCAGTAGAAAGTGAAAGCTTACTGGCTCAAGGGGCTTAAGCACAACCTCTGGCCAATTACTGACTGAATAATAAACTATTCTGTGGTTACTACTGAGTCACTTCATGGTGGCTACTAAGAATCTAGGCATAAAAATAAGATCACAATCAACATTGGTGGTCTGGAAGACTGTACATGCCCAAGATTGTAACAAGAGAGGGAATTTCTCTCAGGGGTGGCCATGGAAGGGTTTTCTAAACCATTTGTTCCAGAACGAAAATGAAGCAAATGCAAGTCCCCTGAATAGTAGAACAATCTCCAAGCCATGCACACACATTGGAGTGGAGTGAAAATCTAACTGACTCAAAGGCTTAAGTCCAACTATAAGTGGTTTATTCTGAACCAGGGAACCCAGGCTAAATGAGGTAAAATGGGGAGGGCATCTGAGGAGGGACGCCAGACACTGAACAATGCAGGAAAAATAGACATCACAGAAACAGTGCAACCAAGTCACTAACAAAATAATGAGTGGTCAAACAAATAACAAAAGCAGCCCATGCCAGAAATAAAAGGACCTCAGTATCCAGAGTAACTATTATTTGTTCTAGTTTTCCACAGAAAATTCACAATATGTAGAGAAATAGGAAAATGTGATCTATACGCAGGAAATAAAACAAGTATTAGAAAGAATCTTGTAGAGCATCTTGGAGAGCTCTTAGCCAAGATGTCAAAGCAGCTATTATAAATATGTGCAAATAACTTTAAAAAACTATGTTTAATGCATTAAATGAAGACATGAAAATGTTATATCAATAAGCAAATAATAAAAAAATTATAAAAATGAAAAATCTGAGCAAGAAAACTAAGATAAACAAAGAAAAAATTTACTAGAGGGGCTCAAGTACACATTTAGTCCTCAGATTAAAGAATCTGTAAACTTTACGATAGATCAATAGCGATTATGCAATCTGAAGAACAGGAAGAAAAAGGAAAGAAGAAAAATTAAAAGAGCCTCCGAGAAAAGTGGGACGTAATGAAGCAGAGAAATATATACATAAGGGAAATTCCAAAAGGAGAGTAAACAATACATGTACAGAAAAAAAATTTAAATGATGCCTGTAAACTTTACCAATGTGATAAAAAACGCTAATCTTCAAATCCAAGAAATTCAGTGAATTCCAAGAATGAAGAAAAGAAAGAAGTCCTCAACCAGCCACATCATGGTCAAAATGTTGAAAGCCAAAGGTAAAAAGAAAATAATGAAAGCAGTAAGAGAAAAACAATTACTCATGTTCAAGAAGCCACAATAAAATTAAAAATGAACTTCACATCAGGAACAATAGAAGCCATGAGGCAGTGAGATGACATATTTAAAATGCTGAGAGAGAAAGAAAAATGACACTGAGAAATTAAGTATCCAACAATAATATCCTTCAAATATGAAGAAAAAATTAAGAACATTGCCAGAAAAACTAAAACAGATATTTTCTTTCTGGAAGACATGCCTTGAAAAAAATTACTAATTAAGTTCTTCAGGCTGAAGGAAAGCAATACTAGATTATAATTCAAATCCACATATAAAACCAAAGAACTTAAATAAAGACAGTTATATGAGTAAGCAAAAGTGACAGCATGATTACATATATATTTCCTTTCCTGAAATAATTTAAAAAGCAAGTGCATAAAACAGTATGCATGTAATTGTATTATAGAGATTATAAACATATATTTATTTAAGATATTGAGAATAACTGTATGACAGTAAGAAAATTATTTTAAGTAATAATTCAAATTAAAGGAAGGACATTGATTCTTCCAATCCATGAGCATGGGCTGTTTTTCACTTGTTTGTGTCGTTTATATCTTCCATCAGGTGTTTTGTAGTTCTACTTACAGAGATCTTTCACCTCCTTGGTTAAATGTATTCCTAGGTATTTGTGTGTGTGTGTGTGTGTGTGTGTGTGTGTGTGTGTGTGTGTGTCTATAGTGAATGGGATTGAGTTCTTGATTTGATTCTCAGCTTGAGTGTTATTGGTGCATGGAAATGCTACTGATTTTTGTATGTTAATTTTGTGTCCTGAAACTTTACAAAAATGTGTTTATGAAGTCTAGGAGCCTTTGGAGGTGTCATTAGGATGTTCTGTGTATATGATCATGTCATCAGGGAACATAGATAATTTGATTTCCTCTTTTCAAATTTGGATGCCTTTTATTTTTTTCTCTTTCCTGACTACTTTGGCTAGTACTTCCAGTACCATGTTTAATAGGAGTCTTGAGGCTGGACAACCTTGCCTTATTTCAGTTCTTAGGGAGAATGCTTGCAACTTGTCCCCATTCAGTATTGGTTTGTCATAGATGGCTCTTATTATTTTGAGATATGTTCTTCCAAGGTTTAATTTGATGAAAATTTTTGTCATGAAAATATACTGGATTTTATTGACTGCCTTTTCTGCATCTATTAAGATGATCATATGTTTTTTTTTTCCTTTTTAGTTCTGTTTATGAGATGAATCACATTTTTTGATTTGCAGATATTGTACCATCCTTGGATCCCTGGAGTAAAACCCACTCAATTGTGATGAATTATTTTTTGATGTGTTGTTGTATTCATTCAGTTTGTATTCAGTTGTATTCAGTTTGTATTATGTTGCATTCAGTTTGTATTCAGTTTTGATGTGCTGTTGCATTCAGTTAGTATTATGTTGAAGATTTTTGCATCAATGTTAGCAGGGATATTGGCCCTTAGTTTTCTTTTTTTGCTGTGTCCTTGTTTGATTTTGGTATCAAGGTGATACCGATTTCATAGAATGAGTTGGGCAGGAATCCTTCTCCCTTAATTTTTTTGGAATAGTTTCAGTAGGATTGGTACTAGGCTTTCTTTGTACATCTGGTAACATTTGGCTGTGAATACTCCCGGCCCTGGGCTTTTTTTGTTGTAAGGGTTTTTATTACTGATTCAATTTCATTACTCATTATTAGTCTGTTCAGGATTTCTGTTTCTTTCTGGGTGAATCTTGGAGGATTGTATATTTCCAGGAATTTATTCAATTCCTTTATGTTTTCTAGTTCGTGTGCATAGCTGTCCTGATGTTGATAGGTATTCATAGCATCCATGATGATCTTTTGTTTTCCTGTGGTATCAGTTGTAATGTCCTCTTTCAAATTTCTTTGTTCTTATTTGAATCTTATCTTGATTTTTCTTGGTTAATCTACCTAGTAACCCATCAATTGTATTTATTCTTTCAAAAAACCAACTTTGTGTTTCATTGATTTGTTGTATCTTTCGTTGGTCTCAATTTTATTCAGTTGTGCTTTGATCTTTGTTGTTTCTTTACTTCTGCTAGCTTTGGGTTTGGATTGTTCTTGTTTTACTGGTTCCCTGAGGTTTGATGTTAGGTTGTTAATTTGAGATCTTTCCATCTTTCTGATGTGGGCATTTAATGCTATAAACTTCTACCTTAGCACTGATTTTGCTGTTTTTCAGAAGTTTTAGTATGCTGTGCCTATTTTCATGTTTTCAAAAAATAATTTATTTCTGCCTCAATTTAATTGTTTACCCAAAGTTCATTTGGGAGCAATTGTTTTGCTTTCATCTACTTGTGTAGATTTGAGAGCTCCTCTTGGCATTGATTTCTAATTTTATTCCACTGTGGTCTGACAAGATACTTAATATGATTTGGATTATTTTTGAATTTATTGATACTTGCTTTATGAACAAGCAGATGATTGATTAGGCTTATTGATTGGAATAATCAATATATTTTCTTTTATTATACTTTAAGTTTTAGGGTACATGTGCACAACGTGCAGGTTTATTACATATGTATACATGTGCCATGTTGGTGTGCTGCACCCATTAACTTGTCATTTAACATTAGGTATATCTCCTAATGCTATCCCTCCCCCCTCACCCTACCCCACAACAGGCCCTGGTGTGTGATGTTCCCCTTCCTGTGTCTAAATGTTCTCATTGTTCAATTCCCACCTATGAGTGAGAACATGCGGTGTTTGGTTTTTTGTCCTTGTGATAGTTTGCTGAGAATGATGGTTTCCAGCTTCATCCATGTCCCTACAAAGGACATGAACTCATCATTTTTTATGGCTGCATAGTATTCCATGGTGTATATGTGCCACATTTTCTTAATCCAGTCTATCATTGTTGGACATTTGGGTTGGTTCCAAGTCTTTGCTATTGTGAATAGTGCCGCAATAAACATACATGTGCATGTGTCTTTATAGCAGCATGATTGATAATCCTTTGGGTATATACCCAGTAATGGGATGGCTGGGTCAAATGGTATTTCTAGTTCTAGATCCCTGAGGAATCGCCACACTGACTTCCACAATGGTTGAACTAGTTTACAGTCCCACCAACAGTGTAAAAGTGTTCCTATTTCTCCACATCCTTTCCAGCATCTGTTATTTCCTGACTTTTTAATGATCACCATTCTAACTGGTGTGAGATGGTATCTCACAGTGGTTTTGATTCGCATTTCTCTGATGGCCAGTGATGATGAGCATTTTTTCATGTGTCTTTTGGCTGCATAAATGTCTTCTTTTGAGAACTGTCTGTTCATATCCTTTGCCCACTTTTTGATGGGGTTGTTTGTTTTTTTCTTGTAAATTTTTTTGAGTTCTTTGTAGATTCTGGATATTAGCCCTTTGTCAGATGAGTAGATTGCAAAAATTTTCTCCCATTCTGTAGGTTGCCTGTTCACTCTGATGGTAGTTTCTTGTGCTGTGCAGAAACTCTTTAGTTTAATTAGATCCCATTTGTCAATTTTGGCTTTTGTTGCCATTGCTTTTGGTGTTTTAGACATGAAGTCCTTGCCCATGCCTATATGCCTTCACTATTTGAAGTGTTTTTGTTTCCATATAAAATTGAGGATTTCTTTCTAATTCTATGAAAAATAACATTAGTTATTTGATAGGGATTGCATTGAAACTGTAGATTGTTTTAAGCAGAATGTTCCTTTTTAACAATATTGATCGGTATTGCCAACAATATTGATTGGTATTGCCAACAATATTGATTGGTATTGGCAATCAATATTGTTAAAAAGGACCATTCTGCTTAAAACAATCTACAGTTTCAATGCAATCCCTATCAAACCACTAATGTTATTTTTCACAGAATTAGAAAAAAATCCTAAGTTTTCTATGGAAACAAAAAAAGACTTCAGATAGTGAAGACATGCCTAAGCAAAATAAACATATGCAGAGGCATTACACTATCTGGCTTCAAATTATACTACAAGGCTATAGTAACTCAAATTACATGGTACTGGTACAAAAACAAATGCATTGATCAATGGAATAGAATGAAGAGCCCAAATATAAAACCACACACCTAAAACCAACTGATTTTTGACACATTGACAAACAAACAATGGGGAAAAGACACTCTATTTAATAAATAGTAATGGGAAAACTGGGTTGCTATCTGCAGAAGAATGAAACTGGACCACTATCTCTCACCATATGCAAAAATTAACTCAAGATGATTTAATGCCTTGAATGTAAGACCTGAAATATAAAAATCCTACAAGACAATCTAGGAAAAACTCTTCTGGGCATTGGCCAATACAAAGAATTTATTGTAAAGACCCCAAAAGCTAGTGCAACAGAAACAAAAATAGACAAATGGCACATAATTAAACTAAAAGGCTTCTGCACATCAAAAGAAATAATCAACAGAGTAAACATAAAACCTATAGAATGGGGGAAAATATTTGCAAATTATGCCTCTGACAAAAGGCTAATACCCCAAATCTACAAGGAACTCAAACAATTCAACAAGAGGAAAAAAATTGAAAACAGGACAAAAGACATGAACAGACAAATACTTTTAAAAATGCTCAGTATTGCTAATTATTAGAGAAACACAAATTAAAATAACAATGAGATATTATTTTATACCAGTCAGAATGGCTATTACTAAAAAGTCAAAAAACAACAGATGATGTTTGCATGGATGCAGACAAAAGGGACCATATACATTGTCAGTGTGAATATAAATGAGTTCAACCTCCACGGAAAACAGTGTATAGACTTCTCAAAGAACTAAAAGTAGTGCTGTTTAACCCAACAATTGCACCACTGGATATCTTCCTAAAGGAAAACAAATCATTATATCAAAAAGACAGTAGTACTTGTGTGTTGATGGCAACACTATTCATAACAGCAAAATCATGGAACCAACCTCAGTGCCCATCAATGGTTGACTGGCCAAAGAAAATGTGATATATACACACTGTGAAATTCTATGCACCCATAGAAAATGAAATTGTGTCCTTTGCAGCAACATGGATGCAGCTGTAGGTCATTATCCTAAGTAAACAAATTCAGAAGTAGAAAACTAAATACAGCATGTTCTCACTTATAAGTGGGAGCTGAACAATAGTTACACATGGACAGAAAGATGGAAATAATAGACACTGGGAACTTCAAAAATGGGAAGAAAGGGAAAGGGGTAAGGGTTCAAAAATTACCTATTTGTTACAGTGTTAAGTATTTGGGTTATGGGTACATCAGAAGCCCAATCCCCACCAGTATGCAATTTACCCATGTAACAAACATGCACATGTGCCCCTGAATCTAAAAATACGTTTTTAAATATCCACAGGAAGAAATGAAAAGAACAGAAATGATTAAAAAAAAAAAAGCAGGTTAATTGGGGGGTGCAGTGGCTTATGCCTGTAATCCCAACACTTTGGGAGGCTGGGGCAGGCAGATCACAAGGTCAAGAGATCAAGACCATCTTGGTCAACATGGTGAAACCCCGTCGTCTCTACTAAAAATACAAAAATTAACTGGGTATGGTGGTGTGCGCCTGTAGTCCCAGCTACTAGGGAGGCTGAGGCAGGACAATTGCTTGAACCTGGGAGGTGGAGGTTGCAGGGAGCCGAGATCATGCCATTACACTCCAGCCTGCGTGACAGAGTGAGACTCCGTCTCAAAAAAAAAAAAAGCAGTTTATTATACCTGTTTAAAAACTCTATAAATATATTTGTGTTCTTCTTGCTTCTAGCTTCTTTAGAAGCAATATGATTATATAAAGTAATAATTATAACTGGGTATAATTGATTTGTTATATATATATGCAAAAAATAAAAGAAGAAATGAAGCTATGTAGGAGTAATATTTCTACATTTTACTAGAATTGAAATGGTATAAATCTAAAGCAGACTCTGGTAAGTTAAAATATATATTCTAAGCCCTAGAACTATCAATAAGCAAATAACTTTAAAAATATAGTTAAGGATCTGTAAAATAATTAAAGTGGTAAATTCAGAAATATTTGATACAAAACATAGTATTGAAAGAAGAAAGAAACACAAAATACAGGAGACATGGAAAATATTAGTAAGTTGCAAACAAATATCCAAATATATCAATGATAACATTAAATTTAAATGGAGTAAACTATCTAATCAAAATAAAATGATTGGCAGATTTAATTAAATAGAAAAAATATCCAAGTATATTCTGTCTACAGGAAACACACTTTAAGTTCAAAGCTACAAGTAGGGTGAAAGTAAAGGAATGGAAAAACATATACCATAGAAGTCATTAACCAAAAAAGAGCTAGAGAGTTACACTAAGATCAGACAAAACAGACATTAACATAAATATTGTCACTAAAGATAAAGAAGGACATTCATAATGATGAAAAGGGTCGATTCATCAGTAAACCAAAATAATTGTGAACATGCTTGCATCTAACAAGAGGACTGTAAAATACATGTCGCATAAACTGAAAGAATTGAAGGAAGAAATAGGTAATTTAAGAATAATGGTTGGAGGGTTTAATACTCCCCTTTCAATAACTGATAAAAGAATTAGGCAAAAAAAATCAACAAAGAAATAGAAGATGTCAGCAACACTATAATAGACATTTATAGAGAATTCCTACAAACAATAGCACAGAACATTATTTTTTTCAGGTGGGCATGGAATATTCTCCAGGATGAAGCTATGCTTGGCCATAAGCCAAGCCATAGTGAATTTAAAATTATTGAAACCATACAAAGTATGCACTTTGACCACAATGGAATCAAATTATAAATAGATAATGCAGAATATTTTGTAAATTTAAAAGTATGTATAAATTAAACAACAGACTCATGAATAACCAATGGGTCGGAGAGAAAAATAACATGAAAAAAATAGAAATTACTTGGAGTTGAATGAGAGGTAAAACAACAACCCCACAAACATGCCAAAATTTATGAGATGGAGCTAAAGTAGTGCTTGGAGGGAAATGTATAGCCATAAGCTCTTACATGTAAAAACATTTTCAAATTAATAACCTAATATTTCACCTTAAGGCAGTGAAAAAGAAGATCAAACTAAACCTAAAGCAATCAGGAGGAAGAAAATTAGAAATATAAGAGTAGAAGTTAATAAAAGAAAGAATAGGAAAACAATAGAGAAAATAAATGCAACTAAAAGTTGGTTCTTTGAAAAAATTAAAAAAATTGACAAACTTTTATGTATACTAATCAAGAAAAAAAGAAGACTCAAATTACTAAAATTACAGATAAAATATGCAATCAATTATGAAAATATAATGGACTATAAAATCATACTGTTAACAACTCTATGGCAAATTAGAAACAAATTAGACAACTTCGATAAAATGGAAACATTTCTAGCAAGACACAAACTATAGAACTGACTTGGGAAGAAACAGAAACTCTGCAGAGACCTATATAACAAACTTAGAGTATGAATTAATCATAACAATAATAAAAAATAAAAATAATCAACAACTTTTTACAAAGCAAAGCTCAGTACATCATGGCTTCACTGGTGAATTATATCAAATGTTTAAAAAACAAATACCAATCCTTTTCCCAGTCTTCCAAATATTAGAAGTGAAGGAAGCACTTCCCAACCCGTTCCATGAGGCCAACATTACCCTGCATTCAAAGCCAGATGAAGATATCAGAAGAAAATAAAACAACTAACTAATATACTTTATAAATATAGACACAAATGAAATTCAAAAAAATATAAAATGGATTATAAGCTATTAACAAATAGAATTTATCCCAGGATGGAAGATTGTTTTAACATCTGAAAATCAATGTTATATATTATATCGATTGAAGGGAAAAAGACATAAACATCTCAACAGACACAGAAAAATCATTTGACAAAATCCAATACCTTACCAAGACAAAAATTCCCAACCAAATAGGAGAAAACACTTTCTCTACATGTTAAAGAACATTTATAAAAAACTCACAGCTAAAATTATATTCATGATGAAAGGGTGAAAGTATGAATGTCATTCCCCCAAGATTGGGAACAAGATATGGATGTCCACTCTCACCACTTATATTCAACATTATCCTGGAGGTCCTAGTCAAAGCAAATAGGAAAAAAGAAAGAAAAGCCATCCAGATTAGAAAGAAGGATGTATAAATCATTCTACCATAAAGACACACACATGTGAATGTTCACTGCAGCACTATTCACAGTAGCAAAGAAATGAAATCAACCTAAATGCCCAACAATGACAAATTGGAGAAAGAAAATGTGGTACACATACAACATGAAATGCAGCCATAAAACAGTAATGAGATCATGTCTTTTGCGGGAACATGGATGGATCTGGAGGCTATTACCCTTAGCAGAATAATGCAGCAACAGAAAACCAAATATCGCATGTTCTCACTTATAATTGGGAGCTAAATGATAAGAACTTATGAACACAAAGAAGGAAACAAAAGACACTGGGTTCTACCTGAGAGTTGGAGGAAGGAGAGGAGCAGATAAGATAAGTATTAGGTACTGGACTTACTACCTGTGTGATGAAATAATATGTACAACAAACCTCCATGACAAGTGTCTATCTATGTAACAAATCTTCACTTGAACCTCCAAACCCAAAATAAAAGTTTAAAAAATTTAAAAAACTATATTCACAATTGACAACACCTATACAAAGAAAAGGAATCTACTACAAAATTATTAGAGCTAATAATAGTTCTAATAGTTCTAAGAAAGCAGTTCAGCAAGATTGCCTCATACAAGTTCAATACACAAAAATCAATTATACTTCTATGCTCTAGCAATGAACTACCTGGAAATGAAATTAAGAATACAATTTCCCTTATAGTCATTTATATACAATTTATATAATATGAATAATTTGTAAAAAATTTAAAACAATAAAGAAATTTAGGAATAAATTTAACAAAGAAGTGCAAATTTAACAAAGAAATGCATTGAAAACTGTAAAATATCATGAAAATAATTATAGGTAAGTTAAATAAAGAAAAGTCATCCATGATCTTGAAAATGAAGAATGAATTTGGAGAAATCACAATTCCAGATTGCAAAACTTAATAGAAAGCAATAGCCATCAAGACAATGTGTCACTCGCATAGGGATAGATATATTAGTCAATGGAATAGGTTTGAGAGTTTGGACATAACCCATACATCTATGGCAAAGACAATTTACTGCAGAAAAATAGCCCTTTTAAACAAATGGTGCTGGGAGAACTGGATGTCTACATGTAAAAGTATGAGATATAAACAAATGAAATAAAAATGGATCATAGACCTAAATGTAATAGGTAACATATAAAAATCTTAGCAGAAAGCATAGCAATATATTATGTTTTTGGTTTAGACAATATCTTCTTGGTTACAACAGAGGAAGGTATAAATGATAGAAGAGAACACTGACAAGTTGGACTTTATCAGAATGAAAAATCTTTATATTTCAAGGGGCACAATCAAGAAAATGAAAAGATAATTCATACACTGGGGGGACACATTTACAAATTATATATCTCCTACATGTCTTTTATCCAGAATATATAAAGAACTCTTATAATTTAATAGAAAAAGACAAGTAAATGAATAAAAAGTTGGTAAAGAACATTAATAGACATTTCTGTAATGCAGATAAACAAATAGCCAATACCCATATGAAGATGCTCAGTATCATCACTAGCCACTGGGGAAAATGCAAATCTAGACATAAGAAGGTACCTGTTCTCCCTCACTAGGATGATTATAATGCAAAAGAGAGACAACAAGTGTTAACAAGGATATGGAGTAACTGGATCCCTTATATATTACTGGTGGGATTGTTTATTAGTGCAGCTACTTTGGCAAACAGTCTGCCAATTCTTCAAGAGGTCAAAGGTTTAACACATAGGATCCAGCAATTCCACCTTTGTATATACAGTCATGAACCACATAATAATATTTCAGTCAACAATAGACAAGATATATGAATGTATTCTCATAAAGTTATAACAGAGCTAAAAATTCCTATCACCTGGTGACATTATAGGCATCAAAACATCATAGTGCAATGCATTACTCATATGTTTTGAGTGATCTAGTGTAAACAAACCTACTGCTCTGCCAGTCATATAAAAGTATAGCACATACAATTATGTAAATTACATAATATTTAATAATTATAACACATGACTATTTTATGATTTATGTATATATTCTACTCATTTTAGGATGTATATACTGTCTTTATTTTAGCATATATTTCTACTTATAAAAATGATTAACTGTAAGACAGCTTCACGCAGGTACTTCAGGAGGTATTCCAGAAGAAGACATTGTTATCATAGGAGATGACAGCTCCCTGCATGTTATTGTCCCTAAAGATCTTCCAGTGGGACAAGAGGTGGAGGTGGAAGACAATGATATTAATGATCTCGACCTTTTGGAGGTCTAGGCTAATGTGCATGTTTTGTGACTTTAGTTTTTAACAAAAGTTTGAAAAGTAAAAAAAAAAAAAAAATAGAAAAAAAGCCTATAGACAAAGTACATAAAGAAAGAAAATACTTTTGTATAGCTGTACAAAGTGTTCGTATTTTAAACCAAGTGTTATTACAAAACAGTCGAAATGTTTAAAAATTAAAAAGTCTGTAAAGTAAAAAGGTTACAGTAAGTTAAGGTTAACTTATTGAAGAAAAAAATATTTTGAATACATTTAGTGTAGCCTAAATATACAGTTTATAT